>NC_000012.12:45338915-45490431 GCF_000001405.40 Homo sapiens
ATGGAGAAGAGAAAACCCTTTTTCTGATTGCTCCTCCTGAGGTCTGGCTGTAGGTTGAATGAAGAGGCTGTCATTTACCTGGTACCAGCAGGGCAAATGTGTCACCTTTTTAAAAGATCATCTGTAAAGGGGTACAGCAGGATTGGCAAAAATCAGCTATACCAAATTCTCTCATAAAACAGGCTTGACAGGGATAAATCATCACAAAAGAATAGCTGCTTGTGTGCACTTGTACATGCATATATGCACAGAAAAAGGTGTGTCCTAGAAAATAGGATTTACTAAACTTGTCCTATGAGAAGTCACCTGGGTTGCTTGTTAAAAATAGATTGTCCAGGCCCCATCCCATACATGCTGAGTCAGTACTTCCAGGGGAGAGGTTCAAGAATCTACATTTTAAATAAGCTCTCCAAAGTTGTTCCTTTAAGCAGATAAGTTTGGAAAACACTTTACTGAAAAACTTTATTGTACACTTAATTAATAGAATAGTTATCTTGGCAGTGAATTATGGGTGTTTATTTTTTCTTCTTTGAAAATTTGTTTTCTGTGTTACTCAGAATGAGCATTTATTTCTTTTGTGATTTGATTTAAAAGTCGTATTTGGAAGTGAACTTCAGCTAAATATTCACTCCATCCTATGTTTATCATTTAAAATGCTCGTCTGTTTTTTGTCCCCTAGTGAACATACATTACTCAGTTGAGTAAATTCCTCATCAGATCAGTCCACTAACATTAAATGTTTTTATCACCAACACGTGAATTTAAATTAAGTTCTGATTAAATAATGTATTCTGCTTACCAAACCTTCGGGAGAACTAATAAATAGCACAGTAATTAGACTAATTTTTTTTCCACAAATTAAGTACCTATGATGTATTTCTCTTGCGTTTTTGTAGGTTAAAAAAAGATTGGCAAGTTGAAAATACAATGACAGCACCATCAATACTTTGCCTAACAAAGCTATAAGAATATTTGAAATCAATCTATTCATATATTTCATTAATCCCAACTGGTTTCTACTTTATCATCATAGTATATTCATTAATTTTACTACTTAGACATTGCAGTCCCTGCTTTTTACACTGAAAAAGGTGGGTAATAGAAAGAAAATGGTAGATATTTGTGTTTACAATCAGTACTATTACTGTGTAATTCGCAAGTAAGTCCTTCACAACAATGACTTTACTAAGCCAAATGAGATGTGTAATGTGTAATGTGTAATCTAGGGTGCGTAGGGATAGAAAGCTTCCTTAATTATGCCAGTCTGTCCTTTGTGATTTTGATTGCTTTATTCTTTATTTCCCTGACAGCTTTATTAACCTCTCAAAAGAGGTATGAATAAGATACTGGTTTCTGGAGTGTGGCAGGTGCTTTTGTCCTTTTTCACCTTGAACCTCCAGTACCATTCTCCACCATCAGTAATAGAATCACATGCATCATTTTGTGATGTACCTAGGTCCTCAGTGATTACAGTCACTTTGGCTTTACTAGAATTCTAGTAGGTTAAAAAATAAAATGTGGTTGCACTGCAAATGAATTTGCTCCCATAGAGATGTACACATTTACAACACAGGTTAATTTATGACTAGCCTTTTTTGTTTTTTTAGTCAGTGAGCCTCGTTTAAACATTTTATGCTGCCAAATAAAGATCATAGACTATCAGTTTAGGTTCTTATGTATAAGGTTTCCAGTAAGGCACATAGATAATTTTTACTTTAAAATTGTGTGGCCTCAGGTATTCATTTATTCAGCAAATATTTATTGAGCAATGGCTATGTCAGCCAATATGCAATATTAATTATCTTTCATTTTTAACATGGAAGACAGCTCTACCCTAATTTTTTAAATGTCAAGAACACTGTTACTTATCCAAGTGTAAATTCTACAGTGAAGTAAAGATGATTTCATGTTAAAGAGACTTAAGCAATCTTTTCTTAAGTAAGCAGTCCTTTCCTGATATGTGCCTATTTGACAAATATAGCACATATGCTAATTTACTTTAGCTACCTGACAAACCAAGAAAACTGGTTTGATCAATTTTTTAAGTATTCCACTAGTTATTTGTGAATTGCCATGCCAAAAGAAAATAACAAGAACTGTCTTATTAAAGTAACACCAAGGTGATATATTAATGTGTTTAAGCAAATAAAAATGTCCTATCCTTGATACAACTGTTTTAAGTATTTATAGTTGGTGGTAAAATGGAGGGCATTATAAACCAACTCCAAGGTCTACCAATTATCCTGAGAGAAATCAGGTAAATATCTCAGGAGTTCTTTGTAAAGAACTAAAATAGAATAAATTAGTACAACCTTTCTGGAGGGCAGTACAGCAATACATATTAAAGAACTTAAAATTGAATACACTCTTTAACAATTTTACTTTTAGGACCTTATCCTGAGGAAACAATAATGGATGCACAAGATTTTTCATAATAGCAAAAAGGTAGAAACCACCTAAATATCCAGCCATTTGAAATTGGTTAAATAAATAATGGTACATCTCTCTGAGAGAATATTATCAAGCTCTTAAAATGAGATTGAAGGGAAGTATTTCTAGTGTTTTCTGCGTCTATGATATTCATATGTGCTATACATTCTCATCAGTGACCTACCTTATAATAGACATGAGGCAAAAGAGAAGAGACAAAAAGATATGTTCACATCCTTCAGAGAAGGAAAAGATAGATATCCATCAGATATCAAAGAAGGTAGCCTGAAGATCAGGATAGCCAAGTGGTGTAGAAGAGTCAAGGGGGAGTCTAGGTGACTCTCATAGTGTTCCTGTAAAATGACGTACTGGTGTCCCACTGCAGGGACGAAGGGTCATTGGGTGCATGGTGTAGAGGCAGAGTGAGTGGGGTTGCCTGTTTTGTCAGATATTTGGTATTTAAAACAGAGATGAGCCTCTAAGCCCTGCAGAACAGAGAGAATTTCTTTTTTTTTAAGGAATAAGGGAAGTCGAGCATGTTAAAAGGCAGAGAGAAGGTAATGGTGATGGCTGACATATCTACAGCGCTTATCATATGCCAAGCATCATGCCGAGTGCTTTATGCCCATGATCATGCTTAATCCTTAAAACAATCCCAAAATGAAGCTGTTTTTTCCCTCTATCTTTTAGATGAAACTGCTGATGATTATAGAGTTGATTATTTGCCCAAACATCACAGAGCTAGTAAATGGCAGAGTCAGGATTTCCATTTTGACTCTGAATCTAGCCACTATGCCCAGGAGTAACAGGAAAACCAAAACTGCAAGAGCTACAGGGGCTGTTTGTTGGAACAAAATCCGAGAAGAGAGAGTCCCTTGAAGGTGATGAGTTGTAGCCTCAGTTTAGAAACTCCATCAAGAAGGTACATGTCTGACTTGCACTATTCAGCATGTTGCATTCATAGCTGATACAGCTGATACAACCAAGACAGAAATATTTTGTGTTTGGTATGTTTGACAGAACTGCCCTCGTGTGGGGCTGGCTCATTCTGGGCTGTCTAAGCCTCATTCCTTTTGTCATCTGGTAATTCAAATTCTGAAGCGTCCAGGAATCACTTCATGCTGTGGATGCCCCTATGCTCTCTATCTGGTGTTGGTGTACTTCAGAATTAAACTGCATCTCTCTTTCTACACCATGTCCTGTAATAGCCATAAGTAAAAGTACATGGAAAATTTGGGGGGCTCAGAAAATTTGGGGGGCTGCAGTTGCTGCACTGCAGCCATTTACACTCCTTAGTTCATTCCGGCTTAACAGGCAGTCATCGATCCACTATTCACTCAGTTTATTCATTCATCAGACATTTATTGTGTGCTTACTCTGTTATAGGCTTGTTTTAAGTGTTAATGATATCAAGATTAAAAGACACCACTGAAGTAAGGGCAGTAATTGAACAGTAGGCAGGGCCATGGGAGGATTTAATATTCTTAACATTGGGAAACATTTAAGGTGTTTTTTGGCAGAGGAGTAAGAGCAATGAAGAGAAAAATGGGAGGTATTGCCCAAGTAAGCTCAAGAAGAGAGATGAAAGGATAGACTTCTGACACCAAGAAGAGAGGTGGTGCCCAACTACTGATAGGTAGAAAGAAAGAGACTGGCAGGAATTTCCAGTGAGTGGCTGCCCTTTTCTCTGTAAGGAAGGAGGTGAGGTCACTTGCGAGCATGCTGGGCTGGAAGTTAGGTAATGAGCGTAAGGAGCACCTTAAAAGTTTGGAACAGCTCCCTAGTGGATAGCTAGGGGCCAGGAAGGAGACAGCCCAACTGTGATGGGAACCATGAATTTGTAATAAGGCCATTGAACAGAGTTACATGATTTTTTTCCCTACCAGCACTTATTGTTAAAACACTCATCAAGCCACTGGAGAAGACCCTCTTCTGACTGATTCTCCTACTCTTCTAATGAAGACATTTGTCTCCAAGAGCTAAAATTCTTGGGCCTGAGCTTTCACATGCTAACTGAAATTCATGACTGAATTTTAGAGGATACCAAAGACACAGGCATGGATCCTGCTATGACCTGCTAGTGAGACCATCTGGGTTGCCCTTTGTACAGCCTCAGGGTGAGTCATCTCCCCTGAAGGAAAGAATGTCACAGTGTCTGGTCCTTTCAGAATACTCCATCCCTCTACTGTACCATGTTTTAGGTTTTGGTCTAACACGTTTTCCCTAGTTTGCAACCACTCTGTTAGTCAGGATTCTTACTTACCAGTATCATAAATGAGCTGTAATTTAAGCAGATCAGGAGTTTATCAGAAAAATGTTAGAGAACTCACAAATTCTCCTGATGGGTTAGATAAATAAGGTTAGAGATAGGCAGCCAGAAGCAGTACCTTAAATCCTGCCACAGGAGAAAAAGCACAGTTGCTGTCCTGAGCACAGGGCTGCTGCCAGCACCGCTGGCACCACTGACTAGCAGTAGCTATGGACAGCTCCTGCCGTAACCTCTACCATCTCTGGAACTGGCATTTGCTCTCTCAGCCACCCCAGAATGTATTCTGCTTGGCCTGGCTTTGCATCACTAGCATTCAATTTGGAGCCTGGAGCCAGGTAGTCTGGTTGGCGGGGCCTAGCTCGAGTGCCAGTAGCTGAATTTCATGGGAGACCACGAAAAGGAGTGTCTGTGTTTTTATCTGCTATAATGGATGTGGGCTCTTGTAGGAGTTTAAAATGGGTGTCCATAAAGAATGACAGATGTCCATTACAGTGCCAGAAAGCACATGAATAAACGTTTCAGTCATTCTGTATCAGGAGAAAGTCTTAGGTCACTGGATGCTAAGTTTCTCTATATTTCCTCTGTAGCAGACTATTTTAAATTCTTTCAGTCTCCAGTACTTTGCAGGATGCCTGCAAAATAAAAGGCACTCAAGAAATGTTTGTAAATGAACTAATGCTTGTTGAGTATATTCTTTCAACAAATATGTGTTAGGCATTGTATTAGTTGTCACATTGCTATAAAGAACTACCCGAGACTGGGTAATTTATAAAGACGAGGTTTAAATGGCTCACAGTTCTGCAGGCTGTACAGGAGGCCTCAGGAAACTTCCAATCATGGCAGAGGAAGAAGGCACATCTTACATATCTGGAGTCGGAGGACAAGAGCAAAGGGGAGATGCTACAAACTTTTAAACAACCAGATCTCGTGAGAACTCACTATCACAAGAACAGCAAGGGGGGAAATCCGCCCCCATGATTAAATCACCCCCATCAGGCCCCTCCCCTAACATTGGAGATTACAGTTCGACATGACATTTGGGCAAAGACACAAATCGAAACCATGTCGGGCATATACTGGTGAATGCTGTCTGTGGGATCAAAATGCTTTACCCAATAATAAAGAGGTAATCAGTCAGAAATAAGGACTGGGCTCCTATGTAAGAATCAAAATGAGAGGATTAGGATTTAGAGGGAAGGAGTACTGCTTAGATAAGAAGTAGAATGAATCTGAGTCAACTTTCAAGTTCAAGTTGGGAATATGGTGGGTCAGGGGTGGAAAGTGCTGAAGAACTTCTCAGGATGAATTGCGGAGCTGGTGGGGAAGGGGACACCCAGAGGGAACAGTCACTTTTGGGGAGCGGAGTAGGAAAGCTATACCTCAAACTCTCCTTACCCCTATCTGAGTGGGGCATTTCTAGGCCATTTGCTTGTGTTTAGGGAAGTTATACCACTTGCTGGTTTCCTCTGCTACTCTATTGTATGTTCAAATTGCAGCCAATAGTTAAATGTACTATATCTGAACAGCTCTTAGAACAGTGTCTGGCATGTTTTAAGTACTGTACAACCATTTATTAAAGATATAAAAACAAAGCAATATCCTTTTTCTGATACTTCAACACAATACATCAGGGATTCCACTTGGACTCAAATGTAGCCAAATACCAGGTATATTCTTTTACTTTTTGACCTTTGGTCTTTTTCCTGCAGCTTCACCTACTTCTAGTTTATGGGATTTTTTTTATGTTCTAGGCCCTGTGCATAGCACAGCAACTCATCCCCACTCTGTCCCTTTAGAGTGGGCAGATCATGAGTATTGTTCCCTGGGTAAAGTGTCTGACTGCCAGACCCACTAGATGATCTCGACCTGGACCTAGCAGTTCCTCTCTGTCTTGTTAACTGCTGTGCTAAATATTCCACCCAGCGTTTTCAGCTGTCTTCAGTGTAAGGCTTGCCCCAAGTTACCTTTTGTCACTATTGGAAATGAAAATTCTACTTCATGTGCTTTATGTAGTTTAAATCATATCTTCACAAGACCCTAAAAAGGAAACAAGTGGGTTTTCTTAGTTCTACAGATGAAGAAAAATGAGGCATGGAGAGTTTAATTTTCTTGTCATGGGTCATAGAGTTGATGAATAATAAATCAGATTTTGAACCCAGGAAGTGTGGTTACAGAGCTCATTCTGGTCCATTTTGTGCTGCTGTAACAGAATTCCACAGACTAATTTATAAAGAACAGAAATTGATTGGCTCACAGTTCTGTAGGCTGGGAAGTCTGAGATCAAGGGGGCTGGCATCTGGTGAGGACTTTGTTGCAGTGTCACCCCCACGGTGGTGGGGGAGAGAGAGGTGGTAGGGAGAAACAAAAATGGGGCGGGGGGGTTAGAAACAAAAGGGGGCCAAACTTTTATAAGGAGCTCATTCCATGCTAATAAACTCCCTCCTGTGATAATGTCATTAATTTGTTAAGTCTGCCCTTGTGGCCTGATTACCCTTCAGTAGGCCCCACCTCTCAACACTGTTGCATTGGGGATTAAGTTTCTAACATGATTTTTGGGGGACATATTTAAACCATAGCAGAGCTTGTGTTCTTAACCTCTGTGTCTACTCATTTTCTTCATTTCACAAAGCAGTATAAACTGTTTTGTCATGAAAAGCATTCTTTTTAAAAGGTCAAACAAGTCTCCATCTTTGCATGCTTCCCTTACAACTTTGGGCACAGCTTGGCAAAAGCCTAGGCATCTAGAATTTAATATCCATAAGTGTAGTATATTCTGTATCTTTTGAAATGGCCATGTAATATAGATATCAATTTAGTTCACTATTTTTATGGATTTAGACATAGCTTCACAAACATCTCAGTCTTGCAGAGAGAAAAAAATTATCTGAATTTTGCCAAAATTGCCTGTGTTGTTTTATTGAATTTGGTCAAGATATGCAGGGATGACGCATACACATCCAGTAATTGAACCATTTGAATGTCTGGTATGGAAACCAAATTTTTAAAATCTGGAATCTTCAACTCTGAAAACTCGTATCAGTGAATAGGACTCAGAAAGCTCAATTTGTATGCTTTTATGAGCCAAAAAGTACGTGGGATTGTGTCAAAGCAGGATACTGTTATTTACCTCAGATGACTGAAACCACACCAGGACAGCCAAGGGCCTTCCAGGGTGCCAGGGCATCGAAGTACCCTCCACGGCATTCTCTTGGGGATCCAACACTTACATGTCACCAGCAGCAAGAGCTGCTTCATTTCTTCTATTCCATTTGCTTGACCAAATGCTGATGCATTTCTTTTTCAGGTCCACGCTAGTTTGATTTTGTTATTAATATTGTTTTAAAAAATGCCTTTTTCTGCCTTTGGTAAACTAAAGGTCTAACATATATTCCAACTTCTTTTGACAGAGGAAAAGACAAGCATACGAATCTAACCTTATCTGTCATGGCCTGCAGTTAGAAGCAACAAGATCAGTAAGTACTGGTCCCTTTTCAGCCCTCGGCTGACCACTGTTCTCGGGCAGCTTCGTGCCACTTGGAATACTTGGGTGACATTGGAAACATGCAGCCCTGGCCACATCTTAGTCATAGACTGGGAGAGGAGTCAATCAAAATCTGCATTGTGTAGGATGTATTCTTTTTTTCTGATCAAAACTAGCAGATCTTTTTTAATAGCCAACGAATTTTACAATGAATGCATGTATGAATGATTATTTTCTTTCTTTAAGAAACTTCTAAAAGCTTTTTTGTTATACAAAAAATAGTTTATGGTAAAAAATTAGAAAACATAAGAATAAGGAAAATAATCTGTATCTTAATTATCCATAAATAATTTTGCAGTCCTTCTGAGCTGTTTTACTCAAAAATATATATGTACACATTTTTTATCTTTCAAAAAGGAGAAAATTACCACTTCACAGTTTTATAATTTGCTTTTTCCCTTTAATATATAGCAAATGGATTTATGTCAATAAATATAATTCTTTGACATTTTTAACAGCCACATAATATGATATTGAACAGATAGACAATAAGTTCATTCGAGGTTTAGAAAATTAAAAATTTTTCATTATGCTAGCACTACAATGAATATTCTAGTGTTTTTACTTTAAGTCAATAATTAGGGTAGAGTGATAGACAAATAAGTTTGGTTTTCTTCATTTTATAAATTATTTTCATAGTTTTATGAACTATGATGATTTGAATTACTTCCTTAATGATTCAAACCAAGAAATCGTCTTTAAGACAAAAATTTATGATGGTTTGCAAATCTGTTTTTATTGTTATCTTCACTTTTAGTGGTGGTCTCTGTATTGTTTTTTTAAAGCTACCAACAACATAAGAAAAATCTATGTGTTTTAAAATTGTGAAAAGAGTTGGTTTCTTGTTCTGCGTTTTTATTTTTCCAATATAGGTATTGGATGACAAGCTTGTATTTGTAAAAGTACACGCACCATGGGAGGTGTTATGTACGTATGCTGAGATAATGCACATCAAATTGCCTCTGAAACCCAATGATCTGAAAAACCGGTCCTCAGCCTTTGGTACACTCAACTGGTTTACCAAAGTCCTCAGTGTAGACGAAAGCATCATCAAGCCAGAGCAAGAGTTTTTCACTGCCCCATTTGAGAAGAACCGGATGAATGATTTTTACATAGTTGATAGAGATGCTTTCTTCAATCCAGCCACCAGAAGCCGCATTGTAAGTCTAAACCAAATTTAGTTGCTGTCTTGGGGTAATTTGGAACCTGCTGTTTTGTGGTTTGGTTGGTTTGGTTTTATTTTTAAAAACTGCACAAAAAGAAAAGAAATATGCCAGCAGATTTGTGTTACAGTAGTAAACAATGATTGGATTGGTTAATTACACTATATAAACCGCATACTCTATTTTGGAATCTTTTTAGGTTTACTTCATCCTCTCTCGGGTCAAGTATCAAGTGATAAACAATGTTAGCAAGTTTGGGATCAACAGACTTGTAAACTCTGGGATCTACAAGGCAGCTTTCCCACTCCATGATGTAAGTTAAAAGGCAAAAATGAACTAAAAGGCCTTCTGTATACTCTGGTGTTGACAATAGCAAAGGGCTAACTTTCCTGACTGTAAGTTTCTTCCTCAGTAAAATGAAGGGAACATACTGCAAGATTACAAGCTCATTTAGGGTAAGAACTAGGTCTTTTGTTCACAGATGGATCCCAGTTATAAAGATACTCAGTTTTAAAGGAGCGAATGAATGAATGGACAGGACCTCTCTCACAGTTAATGTGTAAAGCAGTATAGATTAGCAGTTAATCTGTGTTAGCATTTCTGAGACCAAAATGCCTGCCCTGCCACTTTCTAGCTGGATGACCTTGTGAAAGTCATTTAGCCTTTCTTCCTCCATTTCCTCATCAATAAGCTGGGGATAAATTATTACCTACCTCCTAGAGTTGTTAAGAGGATTAAATTAATCCATTAAATTAATCCAAATGTTAGTCCCTAGCATATAATAAATACTATTATAAGTGTTAGCTGTTTTCATAATTACTAACAGATGTTATTATCAACCAGAAAAGATTAGTTCTTTGTCAGCAAAATACATGTTAGACCTTCTCATTTATCATTTTCTGCAACATAGACTTTTCTTCCTCATTTGGAATACGATTTTCAAACTGTCCCCTGGAATATCCCTGGGCTTTTAAAAAGGCATCTGTCAGGGTTGTTGTGACAATGGCAGTACCCCAGATGGTTGACATTTTTTTAAGGACTACATTCTGAGACCACAGCAACCCCTCAAATTCAAGAGTACTTCTCTAGCCGAGAACATCTCTCGTGAAATGAAATTTTTAAAATGTGACCACTGTAAATGCAGGGACATTATAACTAAAGCTGTTTAAACTCTGTCATTGAAATAAATTAAATACTATATTATATTGCATTATTACTTTGTTATATTCACTATCAATTTATCTGACTGTGTAAGACCAAAGAAAGTAAAGACTGAGATTGGTAATTGCTACTGTGTAGTACATGTATTTGTGGATAGAGACGATATTGAAATGTACTGAATAACATAATAAAACTAGGACACTAAACAGCAGCTTGATACACATGGAAAAGTAGAGAACAGGGAGCTGGGTGAGGTAAATACTGATCCTAAGAGACCCAATGTAGCCATCCAGCCTGAGAGTCCATGTGTTTTACTTTTGTGCCCCACTGAATTTAGCTAATTGCGAATAACAGGACATGAATTTTGAGGCCACTTGCAAATAGCTGTCACGAATATTAATTTGGGATGCCAGGGTTCTCTAACAGTTGACATTTGCTTTTGGCCATGTCTTTTCCACTAAAGCCTCTTCTAATTGCAGTGGTCCTGTATTCAGGCTAACAAATGGTCCCATGTGGTATTTGAGAGGGAGGTGTGTGAAGGTCAGGGCCTGTGCCCTGATTTGGCTGGGTGGTAATCTGGTTCTAGTGCCAGAAGAAGAAAAATGAGTCAGAAAAAAAGGCAACTGGATTTAAGCAGGAAGTTTTGTTTCTTGAATAAGCTAAGTGTGTAACATGATACCCAGCTTTATTGTTTGTTTTCTGTATGTTATCACAGAATAACTGCTGAACTGGGGGCAAAGAAGCCTAGGTTTTAGAATTGACCCTGCTGCTAACCAGCCAAGGCCTTGGTTTCCCCATTGTCCAAGGAGAGGGGTGGGTTATCACGTGTTCCTCTGGTGTGGTGATTTGGGCACTTGGGTGGCCCAATTTTTCATTGTGTAGGACTGCCCCACTTAAAGCATTTTAAGCATCTCTGGGGCCCTCACAGAGTCCCTGCAGTGCTCCCCAGGATTGTAACACCCAATCGTTCATCCCTGCCCACATTCATAAATGACCCCCAAGGAGGGTAGTACCATGCCTGGTTAAGAATCACTAAAAATTAGATGGTATTTCCACCCTTTCCAGAAGGTGAGGACCCCTTGTTCACAATTGACTATCAAGTATTTGTATCACATTTAAGAAGCAGATTTGTGAAAACACGATGATTATGGTGCTTACATGTTCCCTTCTGCGTCACAGTGCAAATTCCGCCGTCAGTCAGAGGATCCCAGCTGCCCTAATGAACGGTACCTTCTGTACAGAGAATGGGCTCATCCTCGAAGCATATACAAAAAGCAGCCCTTGGATCTTATCAGGTGAGGGGTTGTAGGGAGTACTCCAGGGGGAGGCACTCAGGGTGTTACCCCCACAGCATCTGAATGTGACAGTACTCATCAAGACTCTTGCCAGTGAAGGGAGCTGACCCAGAGTGCTGAGCTTCGTTGGCCAGGGTTTTTATTGAGGCTTAATTATGTGGGCATGATTAATTGAATCATTACCCATCTCCAGTATCATCCTCCCCCTGGAAGATGGCCAGTAATATGTGGCTCAAAGCTCCAGTTCTCCAATCACATGGTTGATCTTCTGGCATGGCCAGCCTCCACCCTGAGTCATCTCATTAGCACAAACTCTCTAGAGGTCCACCATGAGCCACTTCACTGGCATAAACTATCAGGCGTAGTCCTAGGGTCCCACTGTGAATAAAAAGGCACTCCTATCTCTCAGGAAGTTCCAAGGGTTTAGAGGTTACCCACCGCCCAGGAACTGGGATGCAGACCCACCAAATTCCATATTGCACAGAAGTAAATGTTAGATGTAGTTTCTATTGTATGGTAAGACATGTACATTTTCACTCTTTTCTTATGTCTGCCTCTAGGTTCTATTTCGTTGTATCTCACAAGATACAATGACTAGCTCAAGAGTTTTTCTTCCCAAGGTACCCTGTTGGTTTTCCTCCAGAAGCTTACGTTGTTTGGGCAGGGCTGAGGATTCTGGCTTGTGGGAGATAGACCAAGAACACCCAAACAAGCCAATAAAACATGAAAATAAATAAACAGAATTTCTAATGGAAGTGAAGAAAATAACAGAGCAATAGGATGGGAGGGCAGAGTGGGAAGTGAGTTGAGGGAGTTATCTTTGAGGAGGTGACTTTTAAGCTGAGATCGGATAGTGAAGAGGAGCCAGTGCTTTGAGGACTTGGCAGAAGTCCTTCTAGGAATAGGGGCAGCTTGTACAGTGGCCCTGAGATGCACACACATTTGGCAAGTTTGAGGAAACATCAGAGACCAGTGCTAGTGAGAAACAGAGCAAGACATGAAGTTAGAGGGGTGGCAGGAGCGCCGAAAAGAGTTTAGACTTTAATTGCAGTGAGAAGCAGTTGTAATATTTTAAATGTTTAAGTCATTGTATCCTATTCACGTTTTGCAGATAATGTGGAGAATGGATTATAAGGGGTACAGGGAGCAGGGAGACCACTAGGTAGGAGGCTGTTTGAGCCAGGCAGAAGACTGTGGGAGCAGATTTGGGATGTGTTTGGGGAGTCGGGTCGACAGGACTTGTTTATGGATTGGATGTGGAGAGTGACGAGGAGAGGAGAGTTAACTTCATGTCTGTCTGGAGCCACGTACCTGTTTTTTTATGGTGTCTCAACACCCCATGCACTTGCCACCTACTTGAGAAAACTACTAGACCTTAAAAGTGAGAGTTTTAAACAAATGAATGTTTGTTTTGTTTTACATTTACCGTGGGAAATTTTAAATATATACAGAAATAGAGTATCATAGCAAGCCTGCATTCATCTGTCACCCAGCTCCAAAAATTATAAACTCATAGCTAATCTTGTTTCACTTTTACTCCCACTTCTTTCCCTCCCCACTCCACTGGATCATTTTGAAGCAAATTCCAAATGTCACGTCGTTTCATTAGCTTCTATTTCTAAATAAGGTGTCTCTTAAACATAACCAGAATACCCCCTTTTGAAAAGGAAGGCTGGGTGAGATGACTCATTCCTCTAATCCCAGCACTTTAGGAAGCCAAGGCAGGATGATCGCTTGAGGCCAGGAGTTCAAGGCCAGACTGAGCAGCATAGTGAGATCCAGTCTTAAAAAAAAAAAAAAAAAAAAAAGCCAGGCACGATGGCTCTCACACCTGTAGTCCCAGCTACTCAGGAGACTGAGAAGGGAGAATTGCTCGAGTCCAGGAGTTTGAGGCTGCAGTGAGCTATGATTGTGCCACTGCACTCTAGGGCAACAGAGTAAGACCCTGTCTCCAAAAAAAAAAAAAAAATTATTTAATATCATCAGATAATCAGGATTCAGATTTCCCTTATTGTCCCCAAAAAAACTTAATGGTTTTTTAGTTCAAAGCAGGATCCAAACATGGTCAAGAGGTTGCAGTTAATACAATCTCTCAAATTTCTTCTGGTCTCAGTTTCACTGTTTATTTCTTGTTTTCCTTGCTCTTGTTGAAAGAATGCCTTTCATTCCCTATTTTGCTGATTTCATTCTCTCCTGTGGTGTTGTTGAACATGTTCCTCTGTATTTGCTATAACTAAGTAATTTGTGTAGTTGCATTAGCTAAGTAGTAATTGGATCCTCATCTAGAAGCTTAATCTGATTGAGGTTAGATTTTATACAAGAATACGTGATACGTGGAGTTGAGTACTTATATCAGAAGGTATATAATGTTCAGTTGTCTCTTTTGTTATGATAGCAGCTATCAACGATCATTACTTAGATTCATTATTTCATAAGAGATTTCATTATTTTATATGGTCATACTCGGATTCCCTTGTCATTCATTTTTATCACCGAGATTACAGTCATGAAGAGGCACTTTCATTAACTCTGTTTACCCTGTAAAATAAGATTTTAAAAGATATTTGTACATATGTAAATATTTGAGGTTGACATTCATGTGAAGTTTCCATTTTATTAATTTCCTTTTATGTTAAACCAATAGCATCTGATAACAGAGTGATGGGTTCTTAATCATTTTTTATGTGCTCTTTTATTTTTTTTGCTTTAGTAAAGAAAACTTCCCAACTATTTTAAATATATTTTGCTAGAGGAAATGCATTTACTATCCCCTGTCCCTGGTCCACATGTTCTTTCCCTTCATTGCTTCCCACTAGTAACCCCTTGAGCATTCAGGCTATTAAACCTCATCTATGGTTCCCAGGGATTACTGAAGGGAAAATGGGCTCTTTCCATTTTGTTCCCAAAAAGCAAACCAAACTGGAAACAGCAACCTAGGGGAACCAGACTTTGCACAGGTAAAAAAGAAAAGTTTCCCTCCAAACTCCCGTTTTTACCTCCAGAGTAATAAAAGAAAATAGGGTATTCACAAGACAAGGGCAGGGTCCTATAAAAAAGGATTGTTGTGAGAATAAAATCTAGCTCTTGGAAACTGAAAATGTGATTAGACAGAAAAACACCAATAGAACGCATTAGAAAAATGAAGTTGAAGAAATTATGCAGAGCATAGAGCAAAACTTATAAAGGGATAGAAAAGGGGGAAAAGATAAAAAATTAGATCAGTCCAGGCCGGTACAATGTATAAATAATAGGATTGTGAGAAACCAGGGGAGAAAAAATGTAGGGAAGAAATCTGAGAAGTACTTCCAGAGAAGTATCTGAAGAACTGAACATCATGAGTCTCTAGGTGGAAAGAGCCTGCTGAGTACCCAGCCTAGAGGATGAAAATAGAGCCACTGAGTCACTCCAACACAGCAGCTCAGAACGCTGGGGACAAAGCAAAGATCCTGCTATCCTTTGGAAAGCAAAATGAAAAGAAAATCATACAAAGGATCAAGACTCAATAGCATTGTGCTTCTCAATGACACTACACACTGAAAGACAGCAGTAACTTCACATGTCTAAGGAAAGTTTGACCATATATATGTAACTCTATGTATGCTCAAACTGTTAAGTATGAGGAATTTTCACAGTTTAGATGTGCAAGGTAATGGAGGAGGTGCTCCACCAAGAAGGAAGACCTAAGAGTTAGTAAACAGGAAATGCAGGAAATGCCAGCACAAGAGAGAGGGACAGAGAGATCCCAGGTGACACAGTTCTGTGATGGGGCTTGGAGAGTCATCAGTCAAGGTTGGAGGAGGTCTGAGGGCATTTATTCAAGGAGTTGAAACTGAAAGACAATCTCATGTGTTTGAGCCTACTGAGAAAGTTACACATTAGGGGAGAGTCTGGGGTTGAATTGCTGATAAGTACACAGAAAACTAAGCAATGAACCATCAAGACAATTATTAACTCTAGGGAGAACAAGATATTGAGCAGGGAGGAAAAAGTAATTATAGCAGTGACTTGATTCAGCTGTGAATAGTGTTTATAGAATCATAATAATGTAAAGCAAGAATATTAATCTAACCAAAAACTATAATGTAACTATGTCAGGATGGCAGGAATAGAGATGTGGATGTTTAGATGAGGCAAGGAGTTGAAAGAGAGCTTAATCCACATCTTCCAGAATAGAAAGTCAATAGGTGATGCATAAAACTGAAAAATCAATAAACAGCACTTCTCGCATGTTATTTAGAGATAGGGAAGTAAATATTCTAAGCATCAACTATAAAAGTTTAAAGTGACTGCTTCTGGGCAGCAGGAAATAGGGGAGGGGGTAGGGGACTGCTCCTTTTTATAACCAGCCTTCTAGAGCTATTAGACTAATGACTGTATACTTGTAACTTTGATTTAAAAAATCAAAGCTGAATTTTGTTAAATTGATTTTAAGAGTTGGGAGGTGTTTGGCAGAGAGGGACAATGATCAGAAAATATTGCATTTGAAGGAATCCTCATTATTTCCAGCTTTTCAGCAAGAACTAAGAGACAGATTTCCTTTTGAGATTTGAAAAATCTTTCTGGCCTTGCCTACAATGTAACAGGGATGCCTTAGAAAGTATTGAACTCCTTGTCACAGTAAATAACCAAGCAGAGACTGCCTGACCAGCTCTTTAAATACAGCAGGATTTTTTTTATTATTGGGAGCTTGGACCAGGCAACTTCTAAGATTCTTTCCAATTTAAATATGGCATTTCCAGGATGGATGGCTGATGAAAACTTATTACAGAAAGCATAACCAAAAAGAGGCCAAGGCGTCTCAAACCCATGGCCAGACTTCTCTCCCGGGCTGTATCCTGAACCTGCCGTTTGCCTGCCTTCCATGAGCCAGAGAGCAAAGCTCCGGTCACGTGAAAATCAGCCCACTGTGTTCCTCCCATCTCCCGATTCCACCCTCAGGTCTGTCTCAGCTCTTCCTTTTTTCCCTGTGGATGTGAACTACACCCAGGCCTGTGACCCATGGAACTGGTCTCAGACCTTCCCTGTGAGTGCTTGTCCAGCCCAGGGATGTTCCTGTCTGAAGTCTCCCAGGACTCCAGGTTTTGCTCAGAGCTAAGTCCCCACGAGGCTAAGACCAAGGAGTTCAGCCCAGCTCCATACTGAGCCTGAAGTCTCACGTAGGCCTCAGAGTTAAGTAAATCTCCTTATCGTACAGATCAAGATGAAGGCAGAAATGAGTCATTCTTGGGGAATATCAGCAACAGCAGCAGTCACCTGAACCATCTCTTCATTCCTAAACTCTCTTTCTGCCTAACTGTACTTGACCTTCCTTTCAGGAACAATTTTGGCACTGCTTCTTGGTCAGCCTGCCCTCTTTAATCTTGCCTACGTGGCCTCTTCAGTTTTACCCCAGAGTATACCATTAACCAGTTTTTAAAACTTAGGAAAAAATAGAAGAGCTAGCTATAAGGAATACAGGGTGATGGATTCCTCAATCATATGCATCCTTCCCTCTTTCATTCTCACATGAGTTTTGCAAAAATTTTGGTCAGAGAGACATTCCACTACAAATTAGTGGTTTTTTTTCTTATTATTACAGTTGCCCCTTGAACAACACAGGGGTAGGGCAGTGACACCCGCACACACATACAGTCGAAAACCTGCATATATATTTTGACTCCCTTTAAACTTTTAATGGTCTGCTGTTGACTGGAAGTCTTACCAATAACATGAACAATCAATTAACAAATATTTTGAATGTTATATGTATTACATACTATATTCTTACAATAAAGTTAAGCTAAAGAAAAGAATGTTATTAAGAAATCATAAGAAAGTATATTTACCATTCACCAAATGGAAATGGATCATCATAAAGGTCTTCATCCTTGTCTTCACATTGAGTAGGCTGAGGAGGAGGAAAAAGAGTAGGGTTATTCTTGCTGTCTCAGGGGTGATGGGGGAAAGAGGTGGAGGAAGTGGAAGGGGAGGCAGGAGAGGCAGGCACACTAGGTTTATCTTTTATTGAAAAAAAATCCACATTTAAGTGGATCCGTACAGTTCAACCCTGTGTTGTTTAAGGCTCAACTGTATTTGTGACTTACGTTACATTTTCTCCAAGGAACTTCCCTAGTTAAGTAAAAGCAAATAACTGAGCAGATTGTTCATGTTCATTTGTCTCATGCATATAAAGAACAGTCTTTTGGAGAATGTGTAAAATAGTGCTGGTCTTTACAAAGAATGATAGTAATACTCTGTATTTATTCCATAATCAGCATTTTTCTCTCCCTTGCTGTATTTTAATGTACTTTCACCAGGCAAACCAGCAATAGTGATCAGTTCTTCCATAATGTGTAATATACTTTTTGTTTCATCGTAGAATTCAGGGTCTGCTGTGAAAATGAATGTTTTAAGGGTGAATTGAGTCAGATTTAAGCTTAAAGCCTCTCCTTTATTTAAAATCAGAAATTAATATTAGGATGAAGCTACGGAGTAATTATTTGCATCTTCTAAAAATAATTTCTGTCTTTCTTCAGGAAATACTATGGAGAGAAGATTGGAATCTACTTTGCTTGGCTGGGCTATTACACTCAGATGCTTCTCCTGGCCGCAGTTGTAGGAGTGGCTTGCTTTCTCTATGGATATCTTAATCAAGATAACTGTACATGGAGGTAACCTCTGTTTATTCCTTGTTGCCATGCTGAAAAGTTTATTAGACATAAAATTATTTTCATGGTCTTAAACTGTTTTGGTAAGACAAGACTGACTGCAGAACATTCATTGCTTGGGATGATATATCCCTTTTGTTCTGAGCACAATAACTGAGTGAAATGGAAAAATTTTTTTCTTAGATAATCCAACCCAGTGTCTGACATGAATATTACCCCTAGGAAACACTCCAATATTTTAAGACAATATTTTGTTTGAAAAAGAAAGGAGGACTGGAGGCGGGAGGATTGCCCTTGAACTTTTGGCCCCTAGAGGAATGTACACTCAGCCCTGCAGATGTGAGCCAAAAGCAGCTCTGATTTCTTCAGGGTTCCACTGGGAAAATTAGTGAGGGGTTTTGTTTTTTGTTTTATTTTGTTTTACTTTTAGAAATGATTTCTTACTACTAAAAAGTGCTTGTTTAAAAACTCAATAGTTGTTTTGGTTTTTACATTAAAAAATAGTTCATACAATGTTTAAAAAAATGTAGTGAAAAATTAGTTTGTACTGAGGTTGAAATTCAAACACCAGCTGCACTCTCTAAAGGGACATATGTGGGTGCCAGAGCACTCTAAATTTCACCATCACTATTCTGAATGGTATTATTAGACCTCTGCTTTTGGTGGTCTCAACTTCCAGCAGGGATGCAGCACGGAACCAGGATTTTCTCTTGATATCTGGCTGCTATCCAGGTGTGCCAGCCAGATAAAAATTTCTGGGCACCAGCAATGAGCTGATAACCAAATTTTTCAAGCCTGAAGCATGTCAGCCTGCTCCTGAGTTAGGTTGCTTACATGGCAGCCCTGATGGATAGACATAATTACGCTTCGATTTAACAGAGGATTCTGAGCATGTTGTACCCATTATGGCTTCTTAGCTTGAAAGCTGCAGATGGCTTTTGAAGTACTCTTCCCTCCTCACTGAAAAAGAGTTTTGGGCCAAAGGCTGAATGTTGTTACCTTTTCTCTAAATTTGTCTTCAGCTTCTCTGTTGGTTTGTACATTGTTCTAGTTTAAAAAAAAAAAATCAAAAATACATTTCAAAGTGCAGAAGTTGCATTTTTATAAGGTCCTCATGGGTTGTTCTTGTTATAACTTATTTTACAAAATCACCATGATAGTTACACCACATATTTCCTAGCATTTCACACAGATTAATTTGCAGAAAATAGAGGGAAGTTCTTGGGGATATACTGCCTGTGCTCAAAACTATTTGGCTTTAATTATTTAATTATGAGATATCTTTAAAATATCTAAATTATAAATATTTTCAGTTACTTTTATAGTTTCTATCAAATACCTGTTTAAAGCTTATGTCCCTCCTTTTTTTTTTTTTTGGTGGTGGGGGCAGTCTTGCTGTGTCGCCCAGGCTGGCGTGCAGTGGCGCCATCTCAGTTCACTGCAACTTCTGCTTCCCAGGTCCAAGCGAGTCTCCTGCCTCAGCCTCCTGAGTAGCTGGGATTACAGGCTGCGCCACCACACCCGGCTAATTTTTGTATTTTTAGTAGAGATGGGGTTTCACCATCTTGGCCAGGCTGGTCTCGAACTCCTGACCTCAGGTGATCCGCCCGCCTCGGCCTCCCAAAGTGCTGGGATTACAGGCGTGAGCCACTGTGCCCGGTCCTTATGCCCCCTTTTAAAAATAACAGTTATATAGAGACATTATTTATATACCATAAAATGACCTTTTTTAAAGTGCACAATTTAGGTGTACCCCTTTCCCTTAGCCCCTGGCAACCACTAATCTATTTGCTTTCTGTTTCTAGGGATTTACCTATTCTGGACATTTCATAAAAGTATTTAAATATTTTAAATGTTTTCTATTCTTGTGAATCTACTCAGTATGTAATAAAATTGAAAATATTAAAAATGTGTAAACAATTCAGGTGTTTTAAGTGCATTCACCAAGTTGTGATCACCACCATCTAATTCTAGAACATTTTTATTGCCCTCAAAAGAAACCAGTGCCCATTAGCACTCACTCCCTAATCCCTCTTTCCCTTGGCCCCTGGCAACCAACAGTCTACTTCCTGTTTCTATGGATTTGCCTGTTCTGGACATTTCATAAAAGTGGAACTATACATTATAAAGCCTTTTGTGACTGTCTTCTTTCATTTCACCTACTGTTTTCAAGGTTCATCCATGTTGTAGCATGTATCAGTACTTCATTCATTTTTGTGGCCAAATAATACTCCATGTGTGTATAAACCGCATTGTTTATTCATTAATTGATGGACATTTGGGTTGTTTCTACTCTTTGGTTATTATGAATAATTCTGCTATGAACATTCATGGACAAGTTTTTGTGCAGACACATGGTTTCACATCTCTTGAGAATATAACAAAGAATGGAATTGTTGGGATATACAGTAACTGTAGGTTTAACATTTTGAGGAACTGTCATAGTATTTTCCAAAGTGACTGCATATTCCACCTGCAATGTATGAGGACAATAATATCTTCACATCCTCATCAGCACTTAAAAAAAATTGCCATTCTAGTTGGTATGAAGTGGTATGTCATTGCAGTTTTGACTTTGTTTTCTCTAATGTCTACTGATGGTGAGCATCTTCTCATGTGTTTGTCATTTGTATAGCTTCTTTGGAAAAAAATTTGTTCAAATCCCTTGCCTATTTTAGTTGTGTTGTCTTTTTATTGTTGAGTTGTAAGCATTTTTTATATATTTGGGATAGAAGTCTCTTATTGGATATTGTCTTAGTCTGTTTGTGCTGCTGTAACACAGTACCACAGACCAGGTAATTTGTAAAGAATAGAAATCTACTTTTCATAGTTACAGAGGCTGGAAATTCCAAGATCAAGTTGCCGACATTTGGTGTCTGGTGAGGGCTGCATCCTCTGAAGGAGAGGAATGCTGCATCTTCACATAGCAGAAGGCATAAGGGCAAGTGGGGAGAACTCCCCTCATCAACTCCTTTTATAAGGGCACCTAATCCCATTCATGAAGGATGAGCCCTCATGGCCTAATCACTTGTTAAAGTCTCCACCTCTTAATATTACCACACTGGCAATACCTAAATTGGAAGAGACACATTCAAACCATAGCAGATACATTGAAAATATTTTCTCCCATTCTATGGATTGTGTTTTCACTTTCCTAATAGCATCCTTTGAAACAAAATTATTTTTAATTTTGATGATCTCCAGTTTACCTTTTATTCTGTTATTTGTGCTTTTGGTGTCATGTCTTAGAAACCATTCGTAATCCAAAGTCATAAAGTTTTTTTTAACATTTATCTTCTAAGAGTTTTATGGATGTAGGTTTATGATTTATTTTGAGTTAATTTTTGTAAATGGTATGAGATAGGGTCCTGCTTTATCATTTTCCATATCCGGGTATACCAGCACCGTTTTTGAAAAGACTGTTCTCTGTTTAATTATCTTGGCACCCTTGTTGAAAAGCAGTTGGCCAAAAATTTAAGAGTTTGTTTATAGACTCAGTTGTTTTCCATTGATCTACATGTCTGCATTTTATGCAAGTACCACACTTTATTTATCACTGTAACTTTGTAAACTTCAAATTTTCGTTTTTCTTTTTCAAGATTGTTTTGGCTGTTCTGGGTCTTTTGCATTTCCGTATGAATTTTAGGATCAGCTTATCTATTTCTAGGATTTTGATAAGAATAATGTTGATTCCATAGGTCAGTTTGGAGAGTATTGCCATCTTAACAATATTAAGTCTTTTAATCCCTGAACACAGGATGTCTTTTCATTTATTTAGGTCTTTCATTTCTATCAACAATATTTTATAGTTTCAGTGTGTAAGTCTCATACTTGTTTTTTCTCTTAAATTTATTCTAAGTACATTGTTCTTTTGATGCTATTATAAATTGTTTCGTTAATTTAACTTTTGGATTACCTATTGTAGTGTATAGAAATGTAATTGCTTTTTTGTATATTGATTTTTGTGTGTGTGCTGCAACCTTGCTAAACTGGCTTATTTGCTCTAATAGTATTTTGGGTGGATTCCTTAGGATTTTTATATACGATGTCATACTGTCTGTGAACAGAAGTAGTTTTACTTCTTCCTTTCCAATTTGGAGGACTTTATTTTTTCTTACCTAGTTGTCCTGACTAGAACCTCCAATATAATGATCTTAGGAGGAAAGCATTCAGTCTTTCACCATTAAGTGTGATACTAGGTGTGGGTTTTTTCATTGATACTCTTTATCAGGTTGGGAAAGTTCTATTCCTAGTTTATGAGTGTTTTTAATCATGGAATGATGTTGGATTTTGCCAGATGCTCTTTCTGTGTCTATTGACATTATCTTGTGTGTAGTTTTTGTTCGTTATTCTATTAATATGGTATATTACAAGAATTGATAACTTTTGTACTTTGAATCATCCTTGCATTCCTGGATAGATCCCACTTGGTCATAGTATGTAGTACTTATTTTATATGGCAGGATTTGGTTTTCTAGTATTTTATTGAAGATTTTTCCATCTATATTTGCAAGAGATATTAGGTCTCTAGTTTTCTTATGTTGTCTTTGGTTTTGGTATCAGCATAATACCAGTCGCATAGAATGAGTTGAGAAGTGTTCCCTCTTCTTTGTTTTTAAAAGAGTTTATGAAACATTGGTGTTAATTCTTCTTTAAATGGTAGGTGGAATTCATCAGTGAAACCATCTGAGACTGGGCTTTTCTTTGCAGGAATTATTTTTTTTCTGTTAGTCCAGTCTCTTTATTTGTTAAAAATAGGTCTATTCAAGTTTTCTATTTTTGCTTGAGTTACCTTAAGTAGTACATATTTTTCTAGGAATTCTTCCATTTTATCTAAGTTGTCTAATTAGTTGGCTTATAATTATGCATAGTATCCCCTTATAATCCTTTTTATTTTTGTAAGAGTAACAGTAATGTTTCCCTTTTCATTTCTGATTTTAACCCTTTGAGTCTTCTTTTTTTCTTGATCAGCCTAGCTAAGTTTGCCAATTTTGTTATCTTTTCAAAGAACCAACTTTGTTTAGTTGATTTTTTTGTTACTTTTCTGTCCTGTATTTCATTTATTTCCACTTGTTGCCTTTTGATTTTAATATTTAGTTCATTTATATTTAATGTAATTACTCATGAAGTAGGAGTTAAACCTGCCATTTTGCTATTTGTTTTCCATGTGTCTTTTTGTCTCTTGTTTTTCTATTCCTTCATTACTACTTTTTTTGTGTGTTAAATAGATATTTCTAGTATGCCATTTTAATTCCATTATTGTTTCTTTATCTTTTTTTAGTGGCTTCCCTGGGGATTATAATTAACAACTTAATTTAAAATAATATAGTTTGAATTAATGGCAATTTTAATTTCAAATAGTACACAAAAACTTTACTTTGGTACAGATCTGTTCCTTCTCTACTCCTTTGTGGTATTATCATCATGCAAATTACAACTTAATGCATTATAAGCTTACCAACAGTTTCATAATTGTTGCTTTGTGTCTTTTAAATAAGATAGAAGAAAATAGAGACATACAAAAATATACTACTTTTCATATTTATATATGTAGTTAGTTCTATCTCTGCTTTTTTTTTCTGTAGGTGGATTTGAGTTACTGTCATGTGTCTATTTAAGCCTGAAGGACTCTCTTAGTATAGGTTAAGTGTTTCTTGTCCACAATGCTTGGGACCAGAAGCGTTTCAGATTTCAGATTTTTTTCAGATTTTGGAAAATTTGCATTATACTTACCATTGGAGCATCCCAAATCCAAAATGCTCCACTGAGCATTTTCCTTGAATATTATGTCAGCACTTGAAAAGTTTTAGATTTTGGACCATTTCAGATTCAGATTTTTGAATTAAAGGTGTTCAATCTGGGCTGAGTGCGGTGGCTCACGCCTGTAATCCCACAACTTTTGGGAGGCTGAGGGTGGCAGATCACGAGGTCAGGAGTTTGAGACCATCCTCACTATCACAGTGAAACCCCATCTCTACTAAAAATACAGAAACTTAGCCGGGCATGGTGACATGCGCCTGTGGTCCCAGCTACTTGGGAGGCTGAGGCAGGAGAATCGCTTGAACCCGGGAGGCGGAGGTTGCAGGGAGCCGAAGTCACGCCACTGCACTCCAGCCTGGGCAACAGAGTGAGACTCTGTCTCAAAAAAAAAAAAAAGAAAAAAGGGTGTTCAGTCTGTGTTTCTGGTAGGGCAGCTGATATGATTTGGCTGTGTCCTCACCCAAATCTCATCTCAAATTGTAGCTCCCATAATTCCCACATGTTGTAGGAGGGACCTGGTGGGAGATAATTGAATCATGTGGGCAGTTTTCCTCATATTGTTCTCATGGTAGTGAATAAGTCTCACAAGATCTGATGGTTTTATAAGGGGAAACGCGTTTCACTTGACTCTCATTCTTTCTTGCCTGCCTCCATATAAGACATGCCTTTTGCCTTCTGCCATGATTGTGAGGCCTTCCCAGCCATGTGGAACTGTGAGTCCATTAAACCTCTTTTTCTTTATAAATGAACTAGTCTCAGGTATGTCTTTATCAGCAGTGTGAAAACAGACTAATATAGCAGGTCTCTGCCAACAACAGATTCTTTCAGATTTTATTTATCTGGGAATGTCTTAATTTCTCCATTTTTGAAGGATGGGTTTGCTGGATATAGAATACTTGGTTGACAGTCTTTCTTTCAGCACTTTGAATATATCATCCCACTGCCTCTGGCCTCCATGGTTTTTATGAAAAGTTAGCTGCTAATCTTACTGAGGACCCTTTATATGTGATGAATCACTTTTCTCTTCCTGCTATCATCATTCTTTGCCATGATTTCTTTGGCTTTGTCTTTACACTTTGAATGTGATACTCCTAGGTTTGGATCTCTTTGAGTTTATCCTACATGGAATTTGTTGAGTTTCCTGGATATGCAAAATAGTGCTTTCATTAAATGTAGGAAGTTTTCAGCCATTGATTCTTCAAATATTATTTCTGTTTCTCTCCTTTTTTCTCTGGGACTTCTATAATGTATGTGTTGGTATATTTGATGGTATCCCACTAATTTCTGAGACTGTGTTCCTTTGTCCTCATTCCTTTTTTGTTCCATTTCTCAGATTGGATAATTTTAATATTCCTAGCTTTCAATTTGCTGATTCTTCTGCTATTTCATATCTGCCGAGGAGCCCTTCTAATGATTTTTTTATTTTAGTTATTGTACTTTGCTAATTGGTTCTTTTTAATAATTCCTATCTCTATTGATATTCTCTTTGTTGTGCTTCCTTTAATTCTTTAGGTGAGATTTCCTTTAGTTCTCCAAATATGTATAACTGCTAAATATAAAAAGACTTCATCTAATAAATGCAATATCTGGGTGTCCTCAGGGACAGTTTTACTGACTGCTTTTTCCTCTCTGTGTTAGGACCATAGTTTTCCATTTCTTGGTGTATCTTGTAATTTTACATTGAGAACTGGACATTTTAAGTATTATAATGTAGCAAATCTGGAAATCAGGTATTTTCCCTGTTCAGGGTTTGTTGTTGCTTCCGTTTATTATTATCACTGTTACTGCTGCTTCCCTTTGTTTACTTTCCTGAACTACTTGTCTTTGTCATGTGTGACCACTTAAGTCTGTGTTCAATAAGTTTTGTTGTTAGCTAATGATTGGATTAGCTGGTGACTGCATTAAATGCCTAGTACCAGTAATTTTCGTTTCTCTGCCTTTGCCTCATCTCATGGCTGTGTGTGAGTGTGTATTGAGGAAATGTGTTTAACGCTCCAGCAGGTAGTTTTCAGCTCTTCCTTAGCTTTTTTTTCTTGCCAGTGCAGAACCTCAAAGTCAGCCAGAGGTAAGGGATTAAGGTTTTCTCATGTCTTTCTTGGCCATGTGCACTGTCCTACACATGTGCATGGCCTTCTGCAATCTCAGGAATATGTTGGAGCTTTTTAGAGCCCCCTGTGCACATCTCATTTCCTAATTTTTCCTTTTAAGTTCTTTGGTTGACCTCTTGTTACGGTATCACTGCCTCAAGCAGCTACAATGTAAAATAATTCTTGCCGATTGCTTTCAACACTTTGGTGATAGTGCTGTTCACAGTATGAGCTCTGAGTATGAGGTTTAAAAAGAATGGCAAATCCTGCGCATGGAGCTTTTTGGGGGAGCTGCTAGGCAGGTCAAATAGTAAGACTTCTCTGAGGATGGGGTTTTGGGGGTAGCTTTAGACTACTTCTTCCCCCTTCAGTGGCTGCTAGGCTGCTATTTTTCACAGCTTCTATAGTTACAAGGCTGTTGGTTTTTAAGGCTACCATGAAGCTAGGGAGATGGGGATGGGAATCAGTGAGGTTAACAGGTGTCATCATTCTTATAGAGATTTAGCCAGTTTTCCTCAAATAAATGCTCCTCAGATGACATCAAGCACTTGCTCCTCAGATGACATGAAGCACTTGCTCCTCAGATGACATCAAGCACTTGGTTAATTTCCAGAGTTCTGCAAAGGCTGATTTTGACAATTTTTGCCAGTGTTCTCATTGCTTTTATGGAGGGAGAGGGTTTTCCAAGATCTTTACTCAGCTATTCTAGGAAAGCTTCCCATTCCTATTTGTTTTTCCTTAGTTATTTGTAAGACCACCTAACTGCACAGCTCCAGTCCTAGTTACATACAAGCCTAGCCTATCTGAATGGCTTCTCCAAAGGGAGCAGCGTGCAATGTTACTTGGGTTTTTTTTTTTTTTTTTGGTATTAATTTGTAGGAGTCCTTTAAATACTCTGACAAATAATCCTGTCATTTTTATGTCTGCAAAACTTTTACCAATTTGTGGCTTATATTTTTCTCCCTTTAATGTTATTTTTTAATGACATTCTTTTAAAATATCTTGAATGTATCAATATTTTTCTTTGTGGTTTATGCTGTTTCGTTTCTTGTTTATGCAATTCTCCTTACTCTGAGGTTATCTACATTTTTTTTTCTAATAAGTTGGTACGTTGGCATTCTCATTTTCTACCTGGAATTGATGTATATAGAATATGATTACAGGTTCAATTTTATGTTTGTTCATATGGATATCCTGTTGTACCAGACCCGTTTTATTGAAATGTCAGTTCTCACTTTACTAATTTGCTTGGCCAGCTTTGGTATAAATCAGTTTTTATATAGGCAAGAGGTCTGTTTCTGACGTCTTTATTTTCTTCTGTTGGTCAATTTTTCTTAACCTCTCCCATAATGCCTTTGTCTTCAGAAGTATTTTGACTGTTCTGAGCCTTTGCTTTTCCACTGAATTTATAGCTTAAATGGGAGATAACTAATATCTTTAAATATTGATTATTACAAATTGTGAATATGGTAGTGTAGGCCTTCTTTACTGCATTTCAGAAAAATTCTATTTTCTCCCTATAAATCTTAACATAGTTTGAATTAGATTTATTCTTGAACACTTTATATTTTTTACACTATTGAAATGGTACTTTTTAAGAATTATTTCCTAATGATTACAGGTGTATGGGGACATAATTCCTTTTTGTATCCCTGTGTGTATTTTGTATATTGATTTTGCATCCAGCCAACTTTACTGAACTTATTTTTGTTTTGTTTTGTTTTGTTTTTTGAGACAGAGTCTCACTCTGTCACCCAGGCTGGAGTGCAGTGGCATGATCTCAGTTCACTGCAACCTCCACCTCCCGGGTTCAAGCAATTCTCCTGCCTCAGCTTCTCGAGTAGCTGGGATTACAGGCACGCACCACCATGCTCTGCTAATTTTTGTATTTTTAGTAGAGACAGGGTTTTGCCATGTTGGCCAGGCTGGTCTTGAACTCATGACCTCAGGTGATTCACCCACCTCGGCCTCCCAAAGTGCTGGGATTACAGGCATGAGCCACTGCACCTGGCCTTTACTCAACTTATTAATTCTAATAATTTATCTTTAGGGTCTATTAAGTCATCTATATAGATAATCATGTAATCTGTTAGTAATAACAGTTCTCTTTCTTCCTGGCCTATCCTTGTGGCCTTATTTTACTTGACATACAATGCTGGCAGAGACCTCCAGCTGAAAAGAAACAGTGATAGCAGAATCTTTTGCTTTATTCCTGACCTAAAGGAATTACTTTCAGCGTTTTACCATTTAGTATGATTTTTAATGAATTTTATGTAACAAAGTTTTATGTAACAGAAGTTCACTTCTGTTTCTAGTTTTACAAGATCGGTTTAGTTTTGTTTCTTATTGTGAATGGATATTAGATTTTATCATGCTGCTTTAAATTTTTTAAAATTAAGTTTTATTTCTCTCTTTTTAGCAAAGAAGTTTGTCATCCTGATATTGGTGGCAAGATCATAATGTGTCCTCAGTGTGATAGGCTTTGTCCATTCTGGAAACTCAATATTACTTGCGAGTCCTCAAAGGTAATTTTTGCTATTGCCAATATTTACACCTAATGAAAGATTTTTTTTCTAATGCTAATTTAGATAAAACATAGTATTGTATCTTTTTTCCTCTGAGGAATTAAGATATTTTTCAACTAACCTTTCAAACATTCTGGACATTAATATACAATGCTTTATTCCTCTTTTACAAATAATAAAATTGTGATTTAAGACCTTAGATAAAATCTCATAGAGTGTCAGTGAGATAATAGTGGAATCTAAACTATTTGAGTATTTCAAGTAATCAAAGCAGAAATCTCAAACCCATTTTATCTTATAAATACTTTTTAATAGATTCACTACAGGTTGAGTATTCATTATCTGAAATGCTTGGGATCCAAGGTGTTTTGAATTTTGGATTTTGGAATATTTGCCTTAGACTTACGGGTTGAGCGTCCCTAATCCAAAACTCCAAAATCTGAAATGCTGCCTTGAGCATTTCCTTTGAACATTATGTCAGTACTCAAAAAGCTTTGGATTTGGGATACTCAACCTGTGTAAGTATTTTCCTTAATTCAATTAAGTGGAAACCTGAAATCTGTACTTCTGTTTTCCCCCTTTCAACATATGCCAAAACTATGCTTAGATTGTAAAGACCCTGATGGTCAGATTTAGACTGTCTCTATAACTATGCATGAGAAGGGTTTTATATGTGATAAAAGGTATTTGTCTTAAAACATTGCCAGAAAACACATCTAGCTCTCCTTATACATGCAGATGGTCGTGAGCTTTATGACTTCTTAAAATTTGGGAGGTTTCAGACGAGCATGAAGAATGGAGGGAGCTTACTGAAAGCAGGCTGGAAACTCTGGACAGATAGATGGTCAGCTTATTTCAGAGCATTTTCCTTACAATCCTGACCTACGCTTCCCTCCGATGATCTTCTCTCTATCCCCTTGTTCTACCATGAGAGTTTAGGAATCATTAGTATCCCTAGAACATTGTAGCCTACTCCATGTAAGTCAGATTTTAACGGAATGTATTGCTGTTATACTGATGCCACTTTCTATATCATACTTTGCATAGTTCTTATACTTACCACTTTTGACATATACAACAACCCTGTGAGATAGACAGAACAGGCATTATCTCCATTTTTACAGCGTAAAATACTGGCTATCTGGGAGATCAAATAACCTGCCCAAAGTCACCCGCCTAGTAACTGGCAAAGTCAGAAATTTATAAGAAATCTGCATTTCTTGTCATTACCATATTCTTTGCCAGCTGACATTGCAGGCACTTTACTCAGATCCAGCTCTGTTTGAGAAATTGTTTCACTACTTAGTTAAGCTGATTGCAGGGTGTTGTCAACAGATGGATTTTTACACTTAATTTAGAAATTAAGCCCCCTCTCCCAAACCAACACAAACTCTAGACTATAAATATCTGTTGTAGATCACACAGAGTAAAAGACTTGAAGCTAGTAAGAGGGAAGCTGCTTCCAGTGATGCTGACTCAGAGGCTAAAGGGCACTAGTTAGCTGTACCCTGAAGCACTGGCTTTAAGGCAGATGCCAGCAATAAGACCAGAGGCAGATTGTCATCTACAAAGATGCAAGTGGAAGTTTCATTTTCCTTAAGAAGTTCTCTCGACACTCCCCACACCCACCTCTTCTTCTTTCTTCTGCTCCACCTACCCTCCTTAAGCACATGACTTTCAAATATACCCCTGTGTGCATTTTTTTGTTTTGAAAAAAAAAAATTGAATCTTTAATTCTATTCTAGTTTCCTGAAGAATCCCTTGAGTCTTGTCAGAATGATTTTCAAGAAGAAAGAAACATGAAAGAATATAAGTAAGGGGACTAAATGGAAAAAAAAAAGTTTGAAAAAGAAAAAGCACTTTTTCTGGCTTTTCTGTTTGTGAATTATTTTTTCCTTCATACATTTATTTGTGTATTCATTTACACATCTTTCTTTTGGAAAGAGTACTAATTTACAGATATGCTTACCTTTTAGCAAATTAAAAATAGAAATATGAAATTAGGAAACAATTACACAAATAATAAGGATTCATACTGTTTTTGTGATTATTGAATAAGATTCTTAGCTTTCTAGCTGGCAAGATAAAAGGGAAACATGGTAAGTTCTAATATTCTGCTCATAAAAACATATTTAGTTATAAAATTTTGACTTTGCTGCTTTCCAGGAAGAAAGCATAACAAATTCTCATTTTTTTCCCCCAAAATTCTAGTTGGTTTCTCTGCTTAAAATCATCTTGCCTACATATGCAGCTCTTTCTTTTCTTTCCTGCTCTATGTGACTAAAGCAGTATGCTGATTCAGACCGCTCTTAACACAGCTGTCTTGCCCTCTCTGTGCCATCCCACCTAGCAAGCTAAGCTAGGCTTCTTACCCAGTAAGCTCCTTGCTTCCTTTTTCCCTTACTTCCTGCTTCCACATAGTCCATGGAACACAGAGCAAAGAAGTCAGCCATCTTATTCTTTCTCAAGCGTCCAGGATTCTCACACATGTGGCAAGAATACGAACTTCATCCAGGCCTAACTCCCTCTCATAAGAGTGCTAGGCATGTCCATCACCTTGAGCAAGGCAGCTGGACTGATCTTGACATTGGCAGTACACTTGCTCTTTCATAATGCTCCCATTTTACCCTCTAGCACTGACAGATGTGTTTCCATTGACATTTTCTCAAAAGAGTAGAGCTAAGAATTCACAGGTGGGGTCTTCTTTTTGGAGTAGGTGGGCAGAAGTGTCAAGGCAAGTAGAGTGTTGTCAAATACTTAGAAGATTGCATTGACTCCTAAAATGGAAGTGGCATTGGACAGAATCTTCAATAATAGTATTACAACATGCAGAACTGTTTTTTATGGGACCTTTCTTATAATTTTACAATAAAGGATAAGGCATAACATTAAAACTTAATTTGGAGAAGATGGTTCCATAAGAGTCAAAGGTAAAAGATTTGAAATATGTGGTCTTATGGAATCCCTGGACAAGAGGAGTAGGTGGAAAGGATTGTTCCCCAGAGCAGGCACGCATTTATTGTCTTCCTTGAGGTTTTTTAGAAGAATGATTGGGAGGAGGAGCCAAGATGGCCGAATAGGAACAGCTCCGGTCTACAGCTCCCAGCCTGAGCAACGCAGGAGACGGGTGATTTCTGCATTTCCATCTGAGGTACCGGGCTCATCTCACTAGGGAGTGCCAGACAGTGGGCGCAGGTCAGTGGGTGCACGCACCGTGCGCGAGCCGAAGCAGGGTGAGGCATTGCCTCACTCGGGAAGTGCAAGGGGTCAGGGAGTTCCCTTTCCTAGTCAAAGAAAGGGGTGACGAACGGCACCTGGAAAATCGGGTCACTCCCACCCGAATACTGCGCTTTTCTGACGGGCTTAAAAAACGGCGCACCACAAGATTATATCCCGCACCTGGCTCGGAGGGTCCTACGCCCATGGAGTCTCACTGATTGCTAGCACAGCAGTCTGAGATCAAACTGCAAGGCGGCAGCGAGGCTAGGGGAGGGGCGCCCGCCATTGCCCAGGCTTGCTTAGGTAAACAAAGCAGCCAGGAAGCTCGAACTTGGTGGACCCCACCACAGCTCAAGGAGGCCTGCCTGCCTCTGTAGGCTCCACCTCTGGGGGCAGGGCACAGACAAACAAAAAGACAGCAGTAACCTCTGCAGACTGAAATGTCCCTGTCTGACAGCTTTGAAGAGAGCAGTGGTTCTCCCAGCACGCAGCTGGAGATCTGAGAACAGGCAGACTGCCTCCTCAAGTGGGTCCCTGACCCCTGACCCCCGAGCAGCCTAACTGGGAGGCACCCCCCAGCAGGGGCACACTGACACCTCACACGGCAGGGTACTCCAACAGACCTGCAGCTGAGGGTCCTGTCTGTTAGAAGGAAAACTAACAAACAGAAAGGACATCCACACCAAAAACCCATCTGTACATCACCATCATCAAAGATCAAAAGTAGATAAAACCACAAAGATGGGGGAAAAACAGAACAGAAAAACTGGAAACTCTAAAAAGCAGAACGCCTCTCCTCCTCCAAAGGAACGCAGTTCCTCACCAGCAACGGAACAAAGCTGGATGGAGAATGACTTTGACGAGCTGAGAGAAGAAGGCTTCAGACGATCAAATTACTCTGAGCTACGGGAGGACATTCAAACCAAAGGCAAAGAAGTTGAAAACTTTGAAAAAAGTTTAGAAGAATGTATAACTAGAATAACCAATACAGAGAAGTGCTTAAAGGAGCTGATGGAGCTGAAAGCCAAGGCTCGAGAACTACGTGAAGAATGCAGAAGCCTCAGGAGCTGATGCGATCAACTGGAAGAAAGGGTATCAGCAATGGAAGATGAAATGAATGAAATGAAAGGAGAAGGGAAGTTTAGAGAAAAGAGAATAAAAAGAAATGAGCAAAGCCTCCAAGAAATATGGGACTATGTGAAAAGACCAAATCTACGTCTGATTGGTGTACCTGAAAGTGATGGGGAGAATGGAACCAAGTTGGAAAACACTCTGCAGGATATTATCCAGGAGAACTTCCCCAATCTAGCAAGGCAGGCCAACGTTCAGATTCAGGAAATACAGAGAATGCCACAAAGATACTCCTCGAGAAGAGCAACTCCAAGACACATAATTGTCAGATTCACCAAAGTTGAAATGAAGGAAAAAATGTGAAGGGCAGCCAGAGAGAAAGGTCGGGTTACCCTCAAAGGGAAGCCCATCAGACTAACAGCGGATCTCTCGGCAGAAACCCTACAAGCCAGAAGAGAGTGGGGGCCAATATTCAACATTCTTAAAGAAAAGAATTTTCAACCCAGAATTTCATATCCAGCCAAACTAAGCTTCATAAGTGAAGGAGAAATAAAATCCTTTACAGACAAGCAAATGCTGAGAGATTTTGTCACCACCAGGCCTGCCCTAAAAGAGCTCCTGAAGGAAGCACTAAACATGGAAAGGAACAACCAGTACCAGGCGCTGCAAAATCATGCCAAAATGTAAAGACCATAGAGACTAGGAAGAAACTGCATCAACTAAAGAGCAAAATCACCAGCTAACATCATCATGACAGGATCAAATTCACACATAACAATATTAACTTTAAATGTCAATGGACTAAATGCTCCAGTTAAAAGACACAGACTGGCAAATTGGATAAAGAGTCAAGACCCATCAGTGTGCTGTATTCAGGAAACCCATCTCATGTGCAGAGACACACATAGGTTCAAAATAAAAGGATGGAGGAAGATCTACCAAGCAAATGGAAAACAGAAAAAGGCAGGGGTTGCAATCCTAGTCTCTGATAAAACAGACTTTAAACCAACAAAGATCAAAAGAGACAAAGAAGGCCATTACATAATGGTAAAGGGATCAATTCAACAAGAAGAGCTAACTATCCTAAATATATATGCACCCAGTACAGGAGCACCCAGATCATAAAGCAAGTCCTGAGTGACCTACAAAGAGACTTAGACACCCACACATTAATAATGGGAGACTTTAACACCCCACTGTCAACATTAGACAGATCAATGAGACAGAAAGTCAACAAGGATACCCAGGAATTGAACTCAGCTCTGCACCAAGCAGACCTAATAGACATCTACAGAATTCTCCACCCCAAATCAACAGGATATACATTTTTTTCAGCACCACACCACACCTATTCCAAAATTGACCACATACTTGGAAATAAAGCTCTCCTCAGCGAATGTAAAAGAACAGAAATTATAACAAACTATCTCTCAGACCACAGTGCAATAAAACTAGAACTCAGGATTAAGAAACTCACTCAAAACCGCTCAACTACATGGAAACTGAACAACCTGCTCCTGAATGACTACTGGGTACATAACGAAATGAAGGCAGAAATAAAGATGTTCTTTGAAACCAATGAGAACAAAGACACAACATACCGGAATCTCTGGGACACATTCAAAGCAGTGTATAGAGGGAAATTTATAGCACTAAATGCCCACAAGAGAAAGCAGGAAAGATCCAAAATTGACACCCTAACATCACAATTAAAAGAACTGGAAAAGCAAGAGCAAACACATTCAAAAGCTAGCAGAAGGCAAGAAATAACTAAAATCAGAGCAGAACTGAAGGAAATAGAGACAGAAAAAACCCTTCAAAAAATTAATGAATCCAGGAGCATGTTTTTTGAAAGATCAACAAAATAGATAGACCACTAGCAAGACTAATAAAGAGAGAAGAATCAAAGAGACGCAATAAAAAATGATAAAGGGGATATCACCGCCGATCCCACAGAAATACAAACTACCATCAGAGAATACTACAAACACCTCTATGCAAATAAACTAGAAAATCTAGAAGAAATGGATAAATTCCTCGACACATACACTCTCCCAAGACTAAACCAGGAAGAAGTTGAATCTCTGAATAGACCAATAACAGGATCTGAAATTGTGGCAATAATCAATAGCTTACCAACCAAAAAGAGTCCAGGACCAGATGGATTCACAGCCGAATTCTACCAGAGGTACAAGGAGGAACTGGTACCATTCCTTCTGAAACTATTCCAATCAATAGAAAAAGAGGGAATCCTCCCTAACTCATTTTATGAGGCCAGCATCATTCTGATACCAAAGCTGGGCAGAGACACAACCAAAAAAGAGAATTTTAGACCAATATCCTTGATGAACATTGATGCAAAAATCCTCAATAAAATACTGGCAAACCAAATCCAGCAGCACATCAAAAAGCTTATCCACCATGATCAAGTGGGCTTCATCCCTGGGATGCAAGGCTGGTTCAATATACGCAAATCAATAAATGTAATCCAGCATATAAACAGAGCCAAAGACAAAAACCACATGATTATCTCAATAGATGCAGAAAAGGCCTTTGACAAAATTCAACAACCCTTCATGCTAAAAACTCTCAATAAATTAGGTATTGATGGGACGTATTTCAAAATAATAAGAGCTATCTATGACAAACCCACAGCCAATATCATACTGAATGGGCAAAAACTGGAAGCATTCCCTTTGAAAACTGACACAAGACAGGGATGCCCTGTCTCACCACTCCTATTCAACATAGTGTTGGAAGTTCTGGCCAGGGCAATTTGGCAGGAGAAAGAAATAAAGGGTATTCAATTAGGAAAAGAGGAAGTCAAATTGTCCCTGTTTGCAGACGACATGATTGTATATCTAGAAAACCCCATTGTCTCAGCCCAAAATCTCCTTAAGCTGATAAGCAACTTCAGCAAAGTCTCAGGATACAAAATCAATGTACAAAAATCACAAGCATTCTTATACACCAACAACATACAAACAGAGAGCCAAATCATGAGTGAACTCCCATTCACAATTGCTTCAAAGAGAATAAAATACCTAGGAATCCAACTTACAAGAGATGTGAAGGACCTCTTCAGGAAGAACTACAAACCACTGCTCAAGGAAATAAAAGAGGATACAAACAAATGGAAGAACATTCCATGCTCATTGGTAGGAAGAATCAATATCGTGAAAATGGCCATACTTCCCAAGGTAATTTGCAGATTCAATGCCATCCCCATCAAGCTACCAATGCCTTTCTTCACAGAATTGGAAAAAACTACTTTAAAGTTCATATGGAACCAAAAAAGAGCCCGCATAGCCAAGTCATTCCTAAGCCAAAAGAACAAAGCTGGAGGCATCACATTACCTGACTTCAAACTATACTACAAGGCTACAGTAACCAAAACAGCATGGTACTGGTACCAAAACAGAGATATAGATCAATGGAACAGAACAGAGCCCTCAGAAATAACGCCACATATCTACAACCATCTGATCTTTGACAAACCTGACAAAAACAAGCAATGGGGAAAGGATTCCCTATTTAATAAATGGTGCTGGGAAAACTGGCTAGCCATATGTAGAAAGCTGAAACTGGATCCCTTCCTTACACCTTTTACAAAAATCAATTCAAGATGGATTAAAGACTTAAACGTTAGACCTAAAACCATAAAAACCCTAGAAGAAAACCTAGGCAATACCATTCAGGACATAGGCATGGGCAAGGACTTCATGTCTAAAACACCAAAAGCAATGGCAACAAAAGCCAAAATTGACAAATGGGATCTAATTAAACTAAAGGGCTTCTGCACAGCAAAAGAAACTACCATCAGAGTGAACAGGCAACCTACAGAATGGGAGAAAATTTTCGCAACCTACTCATCTGACAAAGGGCTAATATCCAGAATCTACAATGAACTCAAACAAATTTACAAGAAAAAAACAACCCCATCAAAAAGTGGGTGAAGGATATGAACAGACACTTCTCAAAAGAAGACATTTATGCAGCCAAAAGACACATGAAAAAATGCTCATCATCACTGGCCATCAGAGAAATGCAAATCAAAACCACAGTGAGATGCCATCTCACACCAGTTAGAATGGCAATCATTAAAAAGTCAGGAAACAACAGGTGCTGGAGAGGATGTGGAGAAATAGGAACACTTTTACACTGTTGGTGGGACTGTAAACTAGTTCAACCATTGTGGAAGTCAGTGTGGCGATTCCTCAGGGATCTAGAACTAGAAATACCATTTGACCCAGCCATCCCATTACTGGGTATATACCCAAAGGATTATAAATCATGCTGCTATAAAGACACATGCACACGTATGTTTATTGCGGCATTATTCACAATAGCAAAGACTTGGAACCAACCCAAATGTCCAACAATGATAGACTGGATTAAGAAAATGTGGCACATATACACCATGGAATACTATGCAGCCATAAAAAATGATGAGTTCATGTCCTTTGTAGGGACATGGATGAAATTGGAAATCATCATTCTCAGTAAACTATCGCAAGAACAAAAAACCAAACACCGCATATTCTCACTCATAGGTAGGAATTGAACAATGAGATCACATGGACACAGGAAGGGGAACATCACACTCTGGGGACTGTTGTGGGATGGGGGGAGGGGGGAGGGATAGCATTGGGAGGTATACCTAATGCTAGATGATGAGTTAGTGGGTGCAGCGCACCAACATGGCACATGTATACATATGTAACTAACCTGAACAATGTGCACATGTACCCTAAAACTTAAAGTATAATAATAAAAGAAAAAAAAAGAATATTGAAAAAAAAAAAGAAGAAGAATGATTGGATGACAGACAATTTAGGATTATGCTTGCTTTCTCATCACAATCAATGTGGACGATTGAGGGGGCCTTGAAAATTAGATGGATGAGAATGTCGCTATTCTTTTATGAAGATAACTAATATTTTTACATAGATGAAGGTTTATCCACTTTACATGAGTATGAAGAGCAACCCAAAAAATCACCTAAAGCAGACTTTTCTACTTTGAAGCAGCTTTGAATTTTCTTTCAGCATTTGAAAAGGTTTTTTTTTTTTTTACCTATAGCTTTTCTACCCAGTCCCTGTCCTTTTATATTATCTGTCATAAAGTAGATATAATATGCTTGTCACTTTTTCCATTATCTTTATAGTAATTTTTAGGAAATGTAAAAATGCTCACTAATGAAAAATTAGTAACGAATTAAAATATTTTCCAGGAACTCATAGAGGGAGATAGGCTACATATATAATAGCAAAAGGATAAAACTTAGCAGAACTAGTAAATAAAGCCTTATTTGGCCAGATACGTTATTTATCATTCATGATCATTGTATTCATTGTAATGTTAGCAAAAGCACCTCTGCATCCTTTATTCCAATAGAAGCATCTGTCAGTGATGGTAGAAAAGCCATCATTGGGTTTAAGAAAACAGAGTTCTCCTGGAGGAGAGCCACTTCGAGATAAACCTCAGCTTTGTACGTCTCTTAACAGGAAAAACAGGAATTCTGAAACTTACCCTCTGACCAGGGTGGGATGATGATAAAATGTAAATCATATATCTAAAAGTTGCTTAGGGATCATTGTATTTGTAGATCCATACTGCTTCCTCAAATCCATTATGACAGCTCATAAGAGGCTGTTATTCAAGCCCAATGGAGGCTTTAAACACAGTGGAATTCTAGGAACTATACCTGTTTCCTTATTGGGATATGCAGAGTTTCACTGGAAAATACACTGGTTAATACAGCAAAGACTTTGCTTTGAAAAGAATCAAATTTCATCTATAAGTATGTAGTGGATACATTGAATGATGTATGATCATAGATGATTGTTAAACTAGGCATCACCTTTGAAAAGAACTTCAAGACTGTAGAATAGACAAAGCATTTCATATTTACTGAATCCTAATAAGTGGAGGATATGACTCATTTATATGTCATTTATATTTTCCAGAAATTGTGCATCTTCGACAGTTTTGGAACCCTGGTCTTTGCAGTATTTATGGGAGTATGGGGTAAGTTTTTTTTTTTTTTTTCATGCACTCAATTTGATAGTATTACACAGTTTTATGTAGGCTATCAAAGTAACCCACTTTTAGGATCTTGTATTGCCCAGGCTTCAACTCCCCTAGAATTCCATTTATAACTGAGGGCATTTATCAGTTAACTTTTACTATATTAAAATCTGCATCAAAATATAGTGGCTTAAAACAACAAACTTTATTTCTCATGTTTATTATTTCTCATCATTCTCTGGGTCAGCTGAGAGTTCTTCAGGCATGGGTTGGCTCAGCTGACTCTCCAGTAAGCTGGCAGCTCCACTGGGGATAGATGATCTTGCAACTAGAAACCCGGTTTGGTCTGTGGGGCTCGGCTGGGAAGGCTTCTCTGCTCCACATGGTGTCTCATCTTCAAGTAGGCTAGCCCAGGAGTCTTGGTTTCAGGGTTCCAAAGAGAAGAGAGGACAAGCTTCAGTGCATATGCATTTTTAAGCCTATTGTTGCACCAAGTTAGCTAATGTCCCATCAACCAAAGTAAGTCATATGGCCAAACCAGCATCAATGTGGGGCGGTGGGAGTACTACCCAGTGGCTTGGATGTAGGAGGCATGATTTGTTGGAAGCCATTATTGCAACAGCCCTCACAGTGTGATACAACCTAACTTTTATGGGGGTGGAGATCAGGAGGAAGCAGCAACACAGTGATTATGGGTGAGCTTTCTTTCTCATACACTTCTATGTGAGCGGATATTTAATGAGTATCTGCTACTCGTATAATAACAACAAACTCTACTTACTAACTAGAACAGATATAATTCTACAGGATCTAATTCCCATATGGGAACTTTACCACTATATATTATTTACTTTGGGATAGAATCATTAATACAATGAGGCAATTATCATTTTCTTTAAATGCAAACTTTAAATGTTTAATTGATCTGAATGTTCTAACGTAGAAGAAAAATTTCCATTTTCAAAATTAGATGCATTTCCAATTTCATTGTGTAAGTATGAGGAACAACAGAATTCAGGTTATAGGAAGGCAGAGGAAAAAACTGAACCAAGTTTCTTATTCTTTAAAAGACAACACGTCAATGTGTGTAACTCACAGAATCAGTTATTTACGGTGTCCTCAGCAGTATTTCTGTTTGGTAGTGATTGTGCCTATGAAGAATTACCAAATGGATCACAGAACAGACAATCCAGTTATTTTGCTCACTTTTTAGAGATATTTGTTGCCGCTCCACAGATAAAGTGCACTGTAAGGTGGCCAAACATCCCAGTCAGTTACATTGGCATTCAGCCATTTAGCATGTTTTGGCTGGAGACCAAACTCTGACTAATATTTGACCCATAGAAGAATAAAGATTGAATGTATGTATTAAGATCCTCTGTGCTCCTCCATTGTAATACACCTTTCTCCGCCCTCCCCTTCCGCCCAGTAAGAGCTTAGGTGCTGAACACATGGGTCAGCATTTTAACTATTAACCGTACTCTCAGCGTTGAATCATAATGTATAACATTCTAACACATCTACTAAACTGCATATACTAATGGATGCTGATAGCCCCAATTAAAGAAGACATTTGAAATAAAGCAAAAAATGTTAATTTTGACACTAGAAAGACAAGCCTCAAATTTACTAGCTAACCTTCCTTTCTCTGATCATTAACTACACCATGGTTATAGAACTGACTTACACATTAGCTGCTGATTTTATCTGATTTTTGAATGCAGAAAGTATTTCAGCACTGCCTATAGCATCGTATGTATATTTTTAAGGATATGTATGATAAACTTTAAGTGCTTTGTGTGGCTTTCCTTGTTACTTCTGCTTTGAGAACTACTGCTGTGAACCACTTTACAGAAAGTTTGAAATTGCAGAACCAAACAGGCTACAGCCTCTTGTGAAGTTATTCATATCACCACCATTATGTTCCTGCAGCATCTTTTTTGTGCCCAGACGCATATGGCACTTATTTTTCTGCTCCCTAGAAATTATGAAAGTTGAGAGTAGAAAACCTTTTGTAATCAATATAATATAAATCATATACGTACCTTAAAAATGTCCATCCTTTCAGGACAAGGCAGCCCACCTGTTCATACTGATTCATAGAGTCCTAAACACCAACCCATGGTTGAAGTAAAGGTTCTAAACACATCCTGCCCACTCCCTTCCTTGTTGCATCTTGCCTACTTACACCTGATTCTCCCTGGATCAGACTTGGCTGCATGACTGCAATGTTTAATTTTCACCTTTGAGGGGTGAGTTCTAAACTAGGCCTACTTATTTCCAGAAAACCACCAGTCATCTGGCTCACTAAGGATCTGGGGAACCAGGAAGCCTAACTAGCTGCACTTGGGGATCAGAAAACAGCTGCTGTGACTGTTACTTTCAGACCTGTGCTGCTTCTGCTAGGTCCACACCAGCAAAATAATGCATCTCCTGCTACCACCACCCTGACTCTGTTCAGCCCAGTTTCTGACTTAAGTGACATACAGATGCTTCTGAGAGGCATTTTAAAAAATCAGATCTGGAACCCTAGCTGCAAGAGAGTTTCTAGCCCTTGAATTAGGAGGTTGGAATAAACGGCTGGGTGTGGTGGCTCACGCCTGCAATCCCAGCACTGTGGGAGGCTGAGGCAGGTGGATCACTGAGGTCAGGAGTTTGAAACCAGCCTGGCCAACATGGTGAAACCTCGCCTCTACTAAAATACAAAAATTAGCCAGGTGTGATGGTGCACACCTGTAATCCCAACTGGAGGCTGAGGCACAAGAATTGCTTGAATCCAGGAGGCAGAGTTTGCAGTGAGCCGAGATCACACTACTGCACTCCAGCCTGAGCGACAGAGTAAGACTCCATCTTAAAAAAAAAGTTGCAATAAAGGCTGAGGAAGTTAATCTAACTTCTCTGCCTCTGTGGGTTACGAGGCCTAAATGGTTTCAAGGCGTTAAAACATCCTAGACCTTCAGCAGCAAACTCTTACAGCAACCAGAACATTCCCATCTACCAGAGTGTGTCTCATCCTTAGACAATGCAGGATATAACACCATAACACTTTACTGCTCTGAAACCTTTTTATGTATATGTGCATCTTCTTCATCTGATGCATATTTTGTTTAGATACAGTAATATCCTGATTAAGAGGAAGAGCTGTTATTGATCCCCAAGTTCCAGACAACCTTTCTCTTTTCTTATTATATGTTGATGTAAGAGTTTTAACTGTGCCTAATCAGCTAGCACCTCTGGATTGCCAGAGAACAGAAGTGTGTTGCTCCCTGCTGAAGTTCTATCAGTTGTCTTATTGCAGGGGGAGAGAGCAAAAGATACGGAACAGAAATTTCTGTCTGTGATCATGCACGGTCACCCCAGGGCTTGGTGCCCTCAATCTGGGACACACAGCATTGTGAGTCAGCACTGGCGTGGCCCAGGAGTACTCCAAAACACTGGATGACTACTAGGTTAGCAGTGCCTTCCATAGACCCTGCAGAATCTGTGGCTGAGTGAAATAAGGAACTAAAACACTCACCTGTCGCTGCAATTCCCAGGGGTTTTCCTTCAAGGCTGAGGATTTGCTAACACCAGACTATGTCTTGCTTGCATTGCAATCCTATCACTTCCCAGGCAGAACTGCTTCCTATAGTTCAGAATTTCGTAAACAGAAGCATTTTACCCAGTATGTTCAAATTCAGGGAGGAGGGAAGAGGACATCCACTGTTCTTCCCTTATAGCACCGACTAGAGTTGCTTATGTTACTCTTTGTGAGAAAAGTTAAGAATATTATCATGAATTATCTCCTGTTGATACCTTATAGATACTGAGATAGATACTAGATAGGTACTGAGTAAATGAGTGGCTATCACACTCCGATTTTAAAGATGAAGAAGATGACACTCAGGAAGATTAAGCCAATTACCTAAAGCCCCACAGACAGAAAGTGACAAGCATAGAATAAGAGTTCTGCCAATAATTTGGCTATTATCAGTCTTTAGATTGATGACAAAATACAGTGTATATTAATGAAGTTGCAGCAAGCTTTGAGAAAGATGCAGAAATAATTTGGTTTTTACTGACATAATTGCATTATTTTTGGTGCTGTGAAAAAAATGAGAATGGGTTAGAAAATGTCAGTTTAGTCTCCTTGGTTCTACCTCATGTGACACAGGTGCAGACCCTTCTTTCTATCGGAAAAATAAGAAACCACCCATCTTCCAGCCTAATTTTAACAGGCTTATAAGTACCAGTTTTTCATTTATGCCTGTAGGTGTCAAAGTGCAACAAGATTTTAATGTGCTTAGTCACAACATACTTTAAAAAATGGTTATGCTGGAAGAGTATGTTTGCAGTCTGTAAGGTAGAAGAGTACCCATGATAATTCCTTCAGCATGTTGACCCTGGACTCCTCCCCACAGTCAAGGTGCTAAAGCTTGATCTCACCAGTAAACTGTCAATGCTTCATGGTATATTCTCCATCTAGGGTTATCCTGGCCTCTTGCTAGGTACAGGACTACCTCAGAGATACTGTGGGTAAGGTTCCAGACCACCACAAGAAAGCGAGTATCACAGTAAAGGGAGCCACACAAATTTTTGTTTCTCAGTGCATATAAAAGTTATGGTTATACTATACTATAGTCTAGTGAGTGTGCATAGCATTTGTCAAAAAATGTACATACCTTAATTAAAAAATACTTTATTACTACAAATGCTGACAATCATCTGAGCCTTTAGAGAGTGTTAATCTTTTTGCTGTGAGAGGGTCTTGCCTCGATGTTGATGGCTGCTGACTGATTAGGTAGGAGGATGGTTGCTGAAGGTTTAGGTAGCTATGCAAATTTCTTAAAATAAGACAACAATGAAGTTTGCCACATCAGTGGACTCTTTTTTCACAAAAGAGTTCTCTAGCATGTGATACTGTGTGGTAGCATTTTACCCATAGTAGAACTTCTTTGAAAATTGGAGTCAATCCTCTCAAACCCTACTACAGCTTTATCTACTAAGTTTGTGTGATATTCTAAATCCTTTGTTGTCGTTTCAGTAATGACAGCATCTTCACCAGGAGTAGATTCCATCTCAAGAAACCACTTTCTTTGCAGATCCATAGAAAGCAACTTCTCATTCCTTCAAGTTTGATCATGAGACTACAGCAGTTCAGTCACATCTTCAGACTCCATTTCTAGTTCTTCTTGCTCTTTCTACCACATCTGCAGTGACTTCCTCCACTGAAGTCTTGAACTTCTCAAAGTCATCCATGAGGGTTAGAATCAACGTCTTCTAAACTTCTGTTAATGTTGACATCTTCACCTCCTCCCATGAATTATAAATGTCCTTAATGACATCTAGAATGGTGAATCTTTTCCAGAAGATTTCTGCTTATTTTGCCAACATCTAGCCAAATAATTACTATCTATGGCAGCTGTGGCCTTACTAAATGTATTTCTTAAATAATAAAATGTAAAAGGACTCCTTGATCTATGGGCTGCAGAACGGATGTTGTGTTCATAGCCATGAAAACAATATTAATCTCTGTACATCTCCATCAGAGTTCTTGGGTGAGTGGATGCATTGCCAATGAGCAGTAATTTTTTTAAAAGAGTAATTTTTTATGAACAATGGGCTTAAAATAATTCAACACACCATGTTATAAACAGATGTGCTTGTCATCTAGGCTCTATTGTTCCATTTAGATTACAGGCAGAGTAGATTTCACATAATTCTTAAAGGCCCTAGGGTTTTTGGAATGATCTAAGAGCGTTGGCTTCAACATGAAGTCACCAGCTGCATTAGCCCCTAACAAGAGAGTGAGCCTGTCCTTAGAAGTTCTGAAGCCAGGCGTTGACTTCTCTCTAGCTGTGAAAGTCCCAGATGACATCTTCTTCCAATGGGAGGCTATTTCATCTACCTTGAAAGTCTGTTGTGTGGCTACCTTCATCAATGATCTTAGCTAGATCTTCTGAATAACTTGCTGCCAGTTAGCACTTGCTACTTCACCTTGCACTTCTATGCTATGGAGATGATTTCTTTCCTTAAACCTCATGAACCAACCTCTGCTAGCTTCAAACTTTTCTTCTGCAGCTTCCTCACCTCTCTCAGCCTTCATAGAGTGGAAGGGGGTTCTGGCCTTGCTCTGAATTAGGCTTTGGTCTAAGGGAATATTGTGGCTGGTTTGGTCTTCTATCCAGATCATTAAAACTTTCTCCGTATCAGCAATAAGGTTGTTTCACTTTTTTGTCATTTGTGTGTTCACTGGAGTAGTACTTTTCATATCCTTCAAGAACTTTTCCTTTGCACTCACAGCTTGGCAAACTGGCACAAGAGGCCTAGCTTTCGATATGCCTTCCTCACTAAACTTAGTAATTTCTAGTTTTCATTTAAAGTGAGAGATGTGTGAGTCTTGCTTTCACTTGAACACCTTGAAGCCATTGTAGGGTTATTAATTGGCCTAATTTCACTACTGTTGCATCTCAAAGAATAGAGAGGCCAGAAGAGAGGCAGAGAGATGGGGAAGCAGCCAGTCAGTGGAATGGTCAGACCACACACATTTGTTAATTTTGCTGTCTTACATAGGTGGACTTCATGTTGCCCCAAAACAATTACAATAGTAACATCAAAGAAAGATCACTTATCACAGACCACTATAAAAGATACAATAATAATGAAAAATTTGAAATGTGAGAATTACTAAAATGTGACACAAAGTGGGTACATGTTGTTGGAAAAATGGCATTGATAGAGGCTCAACGTGGGGTTGCCACAAACAATCAATTTGTAAGAAGATAAAAACACTATCTGTAAAGCACGATAAATCAAGGTACATCTGTACAGGAGGTACTGAAGGCCCAAGTAGACTAGCATAGCAGGAAGTAAGGACAGTGGGTGGTTATGTGTAGAGGTGAGCAGTTGGAGTCAGCTGGGACCTCTGAGTGGATTATTCCCCAGGTGGTGGGGGTCCTCCAGTTTCTGGGTGGTTTCCTTCAGTTTGTTCATTCAGTGCATTCATTCGTTACATGCCTACTATGTCGTAGTGCTTCTGCTATGAACAAAACCAAATCCCTGCACATGTGAAGGTGACATTCCAGTGGGTATGATAGACAGTAGACCTAGAAGCAGATATAGGTTGGGATGCATGAGTGCTATGTATTAATATTTTGAAGGGCAGAAGAAGGGTTGACAAAGGGAATAAAATGGGCCCTTTCTGAGAGAATGCACATGACCGCTGGAATGATTGCATAATTACAGAGTGGGAGACAGAGCTGAGGGAGCTTCAGGGGTGGGGGCATATGCAATACTGGCAGTAGGATTCTTGGTAGATTAAAAAGTAGAGTCCTCTGTTGATGGAGATGTATGGGAGTTTATCAAGGGGATGCAGAACCTTGGGCTTTGGTAAGTGGGTGGTGTATGTTATGCTGCTTCATATGCAGCCTAGGGAGGGTTGGCTCATGGGTGGCTCATTCCTCCCAACAGGGTCTCTTTGGGGAGTATCTGCCACCTGAGACCAGCATGGCTCAGCTGGGCACCAAGACCAGCCAGTCACATGTCAGTCCACAAAAGGACATGGTGCCCTCTAGATTTCCATCCCATTGACAAAGAAGCCAATACTCACTTCATTTCCCCTTGGGCAGGTACAGAAGCACAAATGTCTGGGTTGTTTCTCAGTAGCCATCACCCTCTATATAAAACACTCAACAATTTGATCCTGATTCCAACATCCAGGTTATTTCTACTCTAACTTACTGGAAAAGTAGTAGTCAAAACAAACACTGCTAGGAAGTGAGTGCTTTTAAACATGTTCAGTTGTCTTTGCCATTGGGGAGTGTTGGATTCTTGCTCCTTACAGGTGCATCCCAAGACTGCCTCCTGCATTTCAGGCTGCCTGCTGCAGGGTCTGCAGGATTTCATTCTGGCTCTCTTCACTCTCTACTTCAGTGAGTCTCCACCCTGACTGCGTATTAAACCTTAAAAACAAAACAAAACAAAAACAAACAAAACAACTATGCTCAGGCCCCATTCCAGACCAAAAATCATAATTTATAATTTACAGGGTGGTACCTGGGCTCAGTATTTTGTAAAAGCTCCCTGGTCCTTCTTACCTGCAGCCAGGGTGTGATTACTACCCTGCATCTCATTTAATGGTCTTATTCTCTCATGGCCCCAATTGCCACTTAAAACAATGAAAATCCATCTCAATCCAGATCTTCCTCCTATGTTGTAGACTTTTACCTATCTACTGGACATTTCTTCTTGAGTAGTCCACATACATTGCATCTGATCATAACCAAACCAGGTGTCTCCTCTTGCACACTTGACCTTCTTAAGACACTTCCTATTTCCAAGGAATGCCACTAGAATTTAGGATATTGCCTAAGTCAGAAACCTGGCTAGCATCCTTCTGTCATACCTGCATCCATCTGTCATACCTGCATCCATCCGTCTGCCTTCTCAACGTCCCTCAAGGATCTTGCTGCATCATGTACCTGCCAGCAGGTCTCCCTGCCCCTAGTCTCACTCTAGACTACCTTCAAAGTCTCCTCCATCTGTACGTTAAACTCTCTAAACTCCTTTCAAAGCACAGAAAACCCTTTGTGATGTGCCCCTGCAGAGCTCTTACCTGGCTGCCCCACCTCCATCACACCTTTCACTTACTACCAGATTATTTGCAGTTTTGGGAAAGTACCTGGCCCTCTGGCCTCCGTGCCTTTGCATGCGCAGCTCCCTGGGGGTAGGTGGCCTTAGTGTTCCACCCACCACCACCTTCACCTGATCAGCTCTGAGGCATCTCAGGACTCATCACTGTGGTCCCCTCCTCTGGGATGGCCTTCCCCGAAACACCCAGTTAAATGTTCTGGTTCTGTGTGCCCAGAGCAACCTGTGCTTACCTTTATCATAGCCCTCTTAATAATCAACTATACCTGTCAGTTCAAGGACAGCATAATTCTCATATGCCTAGGAGCTCCTTGAAGCAGGGACTGTGTCTTGTTTTCTCTTTATTCCCAGCTGATAGTAGACACTCAAAGAATGTTTGTAAATAGAAGAGTGGTGATTACAGAATTTTTTTATAGGAAGGACTTAGGGTTCGCAGTCTGATTAGAAGAAGGGCATGGGGTATTTACCCTGAAACTGCATTTTTTCAATTAACATTTAATGTTTTTATTTACTATTTAAAGTTAAAAATTCTGAAAAATGATTCCTAAAAAATTATTTTAGTCATACATTATATAAGATTGAGAAAAATACTAGTTTTCCGTATGAATGAATATTAATTTATTTGGGACATCCTAAAGTATTCCTCTTCCCCTGTAGGCCCTTAGGAAGGAAAGGAGAGTACAAGAATGAGGGCACGGGGAAAAGCAGATGAAGGATGGATCATGAGCTCCTTTGGAACTGTGATCATTATTTGTGTTTTAGTTGGCAATAAGGTGCTGGAACATATGCTTCAGTGTCAGACATACTCACATGTCTTCTGACCATCACATTGCCTTTCCCAGCATCTATAGTCTATTTCATAATGTTGTAAATTACCAACATTTTTCTTTAAAATCATGTTTTTCCCTTTTAAATAGTAGTATCTCCTATAATTTAGATTTGATTTGCCATATACAAAAGTATTATGGATGATATGGTTTGGCTCTGTGTCCCCACCCAAATCTCATGTCGAATTATAATCCCCATGTGTCAGGGGAGGGGCCTGGTGGGAGGTGATTGGATCATGGGGTTGGATTTCCCCCATCCTGTTCTCATGATAGTGAGTGAGTTCTCATGAGATCTGATGGTTTAAAGCTGTGGCACTTTCCTCCGTGCTCTCTCTCTCCTATTGCCATGTAAGACGTGTTTTGCTTTCCCTTCACCTTACACCATGATTTTAAGTTTCCTGAGGCCTCCCCAGCCATGCAGAACTGTGAGTCAATTAAACCTCTTTCCTTTATGAATTACCCAGTCCAGGTAGTTCTTTATAGCAGTGTGAAAACAGGCCAGTACAATGGATAATTAATATTATTCAGTACAGATTTCTGAAACATCAGTCATCATTGAAAATCCACACAAGCTCTTCTGTCTCTCTGTTAGTTACCTTGTTTTTGGAGTTTTGGAAGCGACGCCAGGCAGAACTTGAGTATGAATGGGATACTGTTGAGTTACAGCAGGAAGAACAAGCCCGACCAGAATACGAAGCACGATGTACTCACGTAGTGATAAATGAGATTACTCAGGTAAGCAGGGTCGTATTTAGGTGCAGTTTAATCTACTTACTGCTGTGGTTCTCCTCCTTGGCCGCACATTAGAATCACTTGGGGGAGCTTAAAAAATATTGATACCTGAGTTCCATCACTACATACTCTGGTACTTAGTAACCTGGGGGTATTCTGAGCACAGGGGTTTTTTTTAAAGCTCCTTTGGTAATTCTGATGTGCAGCCAAAGTGAAGAAGCACTGCTTAGAACAGTAGACACAGGAGATAAATGGGGCCCCTTCTTTCATAAAAACAGTAAAAATACAAAAAAATAATTTTTACTGTGACATAGTGATATAAGGAAAGAGGCACTGGTTTTTATAGTTGATTCTCAATTTTTCACGTATACTTTCATTATTCCAGCCCCTTATTCATCCTAGACCAGCTGCCCCTTTATCTTGCAGTAAGCCTCAGTCACTGCTCCACCTTCTGGTTGGGATGTGCAGAAAATAGTGTGGCCTTTATCCTAAAGTTGGAGAAAGGATGGAGGAAGAAGGAAAGTATTTTTTGAGGTCCAACTCTGTTCAGGTACTGTGCTAGGTATTTTATGTCATTGGAAAGGTAGATTTGCTGCTGCTACCACTACTCCAAAGATAAAAAACTATATTCTGTCTGTATAAATATTCCAAAGTCCCTGAAAGATGATTTTTAAATCATCTGCATTCTTGCTTCTTTCCATCAACACAGAAAACTTTGAGCTGATTGTACTTGCAGTCATCAGCATAAGAACAGTAGGTTCTGAATACGAATAGCTCTTGGAAAGAAAATGCTTTTACCAAGAATGTCTGAAAGTGTTCCCAACTATAGGTTTTATAAATTGAATCACAGATTTACAAAATGTTGGCACTAAAAGGAACCAGAGGGAACAGTTCAACCTCTTCCTTTTACAAATGGGAAAAAACGAGGTTCAATTACCAGTAGAAAGTGACATTTGTCTTTCGCAATGTAAAAGCTTCAAATAATCCCCATTATGAATAGTTCCTGCTGTTTACTAGAGAGGACAGGGTCAAAGCATATGTTGTTGAAAGATTGTATATTCAGAAATGAAAGCCAAAACTTAAACAAAATTAGATGTTTATGAAGTAGTTTGAGCACTAAAAAATCTTATAATACCAGCAACATGGGAAAAATACTGAAGAAAAGACAATTTGGTCATTTAAACCTGCCAATTTTATAGTTAAAATTGCCAGCTTATAAGTTAAATTTCCCTTGAAGTGTTACTTGTTAAAACATTGCAAGTGAAGGTTCCTTTTTCTTTATGGTTATTCCTCGTTTCACTTTCATTGCCCACATACCCTCCCTTTGTTTAGAGAGGCCTATAGTGTGATGGTGAAGTCTCTGATGCCAGAGTTCATGTCTGACCACAGCAACTTACTAGTTGGGTGATCTTGGACCAATTAGTTAACTTCCCGGTGCCTCAGTGACCTCATCTATAAAATGGGAATAATACAGTTGTTTCCTCATGATCGCAGCTAAGGATTGAGTTAATGTATAGAAGCTACTTAGAATAGTGCCTGGCACAGAGTTAAATACTCTTAAGTATTTGCAGCTGTTATTAGGCTGCTCTTACAATACAGGTAAATCATGTAGAGGGTTGATTTCTACTCTTAAGAATTTAAATATATTTTTATGAACTATAAAATGGAAATCCTCTAAAAATTTATTCAAAGTTAATATATAAAGCCCAACCAAGAAACACATAGTGGATACCTAGTATTTGCAGACATCTAGGAAACTTTTTGTCCTGCCTGTGCTCTGCGCTATCATCACAGCGATTTCTAAAACCTAAGACAAGCCCAGAAGTATAGCTTTGCAGCTTGGCACCATCAGACACCCAGATTCCTGAGCTCGGGTCGTGGCCGATAAACAGTTTATTCATGCTTGCATTTTCCAAAAACTTATTAAAATGAACACTGCACATGTTTTGTGATGTGTGACTTTGAAATTGTTAACAAAAAAGTGCAATTATGAGTAAGGAGACTATGCTTGCAAACTAATTTTTTAAAATTAATTCTAAGATTTATTGGCGAGTCAGGAGAAAAATAATTTTATTACAGTAATCCCTTGATTGACTAAACTTTTTTGTTTTTGTAATTAGGAAGAAGAACGCATTCCCTTTACTGCCTGGGGAAAATGTATACGGATAACCCTCTGTGCCAGTGCTGTCTTTTTCTGGGTAATTCTATCACAAAAATGTTTTGAATGATTAAAAATGTTTTTATTATGTAACAGATTTTTTTAATATCTAATTTTAAATGTTGAGGAAACTAAATGCTGAGCCTGGAAACTATATGGTCTCAGAGAGACAGACAGATATTTCCAGATAACTATTTTAGCCACCACATAGAGCAACTCCCAAGGTTCGAGATACCTTATCTGTTCACAGAGGTTCTTCTAGTTCTTTTCACCTCATCTGTTAAATCAGTGATTCAGGATTTTCCAGTTTCTGGTGAAGACCAAATGGAAGGCATTAAGAATTCTAAAATTTTCCAACAGCAACAATCAAAATAAAATGTTGGCCAGGGGCGGTGGCTCATGCCTATAATCCAAGCACCTTGGGAGGCCAAGGTGGGTGGATCACCTGAGGTCAGGAGTCAAGACCAGCCTGGCCAACATGATGAAACCCCGTCACTACTGAAAATACAAAAATTAGCCAGGCAAGGTGTCACACACCTGTAGTCCCAGCTACTCGGGAGGCTGAGGCACGAGAGTCACTTGAACCCAGGAGACGGAGGTTGCAGTGAGTGAAAATCACACCACTGCACTCGACTGGGTAACAGAGCAAGACTCCATCTCAAAAAAAAAATAAATAAAATGTCTAGGAATACCCTTAACAAAAAGATAATAGGAACTATCAAAGAAAACATAAAAACTCTTGAAAGTTGTAAAGGATCTGAATGAATGATAATTAAATGAATGATTCTAGATAGAAACACATTTTCTGTAAAATATCAGTACTTACTAAGTTAGTTTTAGGCTTATTGATGGAATCATATTAGTGATGTAATAATTTAGTGTGAGTTTTAATGGCTCAAGAAGAGCCAGATTCAAGAATAGCACATGAAGCCTAGAAATAGCCCCTGATAGCAATAAAAATGTAATATGTCAGAAAAGAGGCATTATAAATCCATCAGACAAGTGGAGATTATTCAATAAATAGTAATGGAATACTTGTTAGCTATTTGGGGGGACAATAAATGTTAAAGTCTTACTTTAAACCATATACTATAATAAATTTCAAAAACATTAAAAAAAAAATTAAAGGCCAGGCATGGTGGCTCACGCCTGTAATCCCAGCACTTTGGGAGGCCAAGGCAGCAGATCACCTGAGGTCAGGAGTTCGAGATCAGCCTGGCCAACATGGCGAAACCCTGTCTTTACTAAAAATACAAAAATTAGCCAGGTGTTCACCTGTGATCTCAGCTGCTTGGGAGACTGAGGCAGGCGAATTGCTTGAGTCTAGGAGGTGGAGGTTGCAGGGAGCCGAGACTGCACCACTGCACTCCAGCCTGGGTGACAGAGTGAGACTCTGTCTCAAAAAAAATGTTAAAAAGGAAGTTGCCAAGATGGCCAAATAGGAACAGCTCCCATCTGCTGCTCCCAGCGTGATCAACACAGAAGACGGGTAATTTCTGCATTTCCAACTGAGGTACCTGGTTCATCTCATTGGGATTGGTTGTACAGTGGGTGCTGCCCACAGAGGGCGAGCTGAAGCAGGGCAGGGCATCGCCTCACCCAGGAAGCACAAGGGGTCGGGCGATTTCCCTTTCCTAGCCAAGGGAAGCCGTGACAGACTATCTGGAAGAACGGGACACCCCCTGCCCAAATACTGCACTTTTCCCAAGGTCTTAGCAACCAGCAGACAAAGTGATTCTCTACCATGCCTGGCTCAGTGGGTCCCATGCCCAAGGAGCCTTCCTGACTGCTAGCGCAGCAGTCTGGGATCAATCTGCGAGGTGGCAGCCTAGCTAGGGGAGGGGCGTCCACCATTGCTGAGGCTTGAGTAGGTAAACAAAGCGGCCAGGAAGCTCAAACTGGGCAGAGCCCACCGCAGCTCAACAAGGCCTAATGCATCCAGACTCCACCTCTGTGGGCAGGGCATAGCTGAACAAAAGGCAGCAGAAACTTCTGCAGACTTAAATGTCCCTGTCTGACAGCTCTGAAGAGAGCAGTGGTTCTCCCAGCACAGCGTTTGAGCTCTGAGAACGGACAGACTGCCTCCTCAAATGGGTCCCTGACCCCCGTGTAGCCTAACTGGGAAACACCTACCACTGGGGGCCGACAGACACCTCATATAGGGTGCTACCTCTCTGGGACGAAGCTTCCAGAGGAAGGATCAGGCAGCAATATTTGCTGTTCTGCAGCCTCCGCTGGTGATACCCAGGCAAACAGGGTCTGGAGTGGAACTCCAACAGACCTGCAGCTGAGGGACCTGACTGTTAGAAGGAAAACAGACAGACAGAAAGGAATAGCATTAACATCAACAAAAAGGTCATCTACACCAAAACCCCATCTGTAGGTCACCAACATCAAAGACCAAAGGTAGATAAAACCACAAAGATGAGGAGAAACCAGCAGAAAAGCTGAAAATTATAAAAATCAGAGCATCTCTTCCCCTCCAGAGGATCACAGCTCCTCGCCAGCAACGGAACAAAGCTGGACAGAGAATGACTTTGACAAGTTGACAGAAGTAGGCTTCAGAAGGTCGGTAATAACAGACTTCTCTTAGCTAAAAGATAATGTTCTAACCCATCGCAAGGAAGCTAAAAATCTTGAAAAAACGTTAGACAAATGGCTAACTAGAATAAACAATGTAGAGAAGACCTTAAATGACCTGATGGAGCTGAAAACCATGGCACGGGAACTTTGTGTTGCATGCACAAGCTTCAGTAGCCAATTCGATCAAGTGGAAGAAAGGGTATCAGTGATTGAAGATCAAATTAATGAAATAAAGAGAGAAGACAAGGTTAGAGGAAAAAGTAAAAAGCAACGAACAAAGCCTCCAAGAAATATGGGACTATGTGAAAAGACCAAATATGTGTTTGATTGGCGTATCTGAAAGTGACAGAGAGAATGGAACCAAGTTGGAAAACACTCTGCAGGATATTATCCAGGAGACCTTCCCCAACCTAGCAAGGCAGGCCAACATTCAAATTCAGGAAATACAGAGAACACCACAAAGATACTCCTTGAGAAGAGCAACCCCAAGACACATAATTGTCAGATTCACCAAGGTTGAAATGAAGGAAAAAGTGTTAAGGGCAGCCAGAGAGAAAGGCCGAGTTACCCACAAAGGGAAGCCCATCAGACTAACAGCACATCTCTTGGCAGAAACCCTACGAGCCAGAAGAGAGTGGGGGCCAATATTCAACATTCTTAAAGAAAAGAATTTTCAACCCAGAATTTCATATCCAGCCAAACTAAGCTTCATAAGTGAAGGAGAAATAAAATCCTTTACAGACAAGCAAATGCTGAGACATTTTGTCACCACCAGGCCTGCCTTACAAGAGCTCCTGAAACAAGCACTAAACATGGAAAGGAACAACCGGTACCAGCCCCAGCAAAAACATGCCAAATTGTAAAGACCGTCGATCCTATGAAGAAACTGCTTTAATTAACGGGCAGAATAAGCAGCGAATGTCATAATGACAGGATCAAATTCACACATAACAATATTAAACTTAAACGTAAATGGGCTAAATGCCCCAATTAAAAGACACAGACTGGCAGATTGGATAAAGAGTCAAGACCCATCAGTGTGCTGAATTGAGGAGACCCATCTCATGTGCAAAGACACATATAGGCTCAAAATAAAGGGATGGAGGAAGATCTACCAAGCAAATGGAAAGCAAAAAAAAGCAGGGGTTGCAATCCTAGTCTCTCATAAAGCAGACTTTAAACCAACAAAGATCAAAAGAGAGACAAAATAGGCCATTATGTAATGGTAAAGGGATCAATTCAACAAGAAGAGCTAAGAATCCTAAATATACATGTACCCAATAAAGGAGCACCCAGATTCATAAAGCAAGTCCTTAGAGACCTGCAAAGAGACTTAGACTCCCACACAATAATCATGGGAGACTTTAACACCCCACTGTCAATATTAGATCAACAAGACAGAAGGTTAACAAGGATATCCAGGACCTGAACTCAGATCTGCAACAAGCAGACCTAATGGACATCTACAGAACTCTCCACCCAAAAACAACAGAATATACATTCTTCTCAGCACCACATCACATTTATTCTAAAATTGACCACATAATTGGAAGTAAAGCACTCCTCAGCAAATGTGAAAGAACAGAAATCACAACAAACTGTCTCTCAGACCACAGTGCAATCAAACTAGAACTCAGGATTAAGAAACTCATTCAAAACTGCACAACTACATGGAAACTGAACAACCTGCTCCTGAATGACTACTGGGTACATAATGAAATGAAGGCAGAAATAAAGATGTTCTTTGAAACCAATGAGAACAAAGACGCAACATGCCAGAATCTCTGAGACACATTTAAAGCAGTGTGTAGAGGGAAATTTATAGCACTAAATGCCCACAAAGGAAAGCAGGAACGATCTAAAATCAACGGCCTAACATCATAATTAAAAGAACTAGAGAAGCAAGAGCAAACACATTCAAAAGCTAGCAGAAGGCAAGAAATAACTAAGAGCAGAACTGAAAAAGATAAGAGACACAAAAAACCCTTCAAAAAATCAGTGAATCCAGGAGCTGGTTTTTTGAAAAGATCAACAAAACTGGTAGACGGCTAGCAAGACTAATAAAGAAGAAAAGAGAGAAGAATCAAGTAGATGCAATAAAAAATGATAAAGGGGATATTGCCACTGATCCCATAGAAATACAAACTACCATCAGAGAATACTATAAGCACCTCTATGCAAATAAACCAGAAAATCTACAAGAAATGGATAAATTCCTGGACACATACACCCTCCCAACACTAAACCAGGAAGAAGTTGAATCTCTGAATAGATCAATAACAGGCTCTGAAATTGAGGCAATAATTAATAGCCTACCAACCAAAAAGAGTCCAGGACCAGAAGGATTCACAGCCAAATTCTACCAGAGGTACAAAGAGGAGCTGCTACCATTCCTTCTGACACCATTCCAATCAATAGAAAAAGAGGGAATCCTCCCTAACTCATTTTATGAGGCCAGCATCATCCTGATATCAAAGCCTGGCAGAGACACAACAAAAAAAGAGAATTTTAGGCCAGTATCCCTGATGAACATCGATGTGAAAATCCACAATAAAATACTGGCAAACCGAATCCAGCAGCACATCAAAAAGCTTATCCAACACGATCAAGTAGGCTTCATCCCTGGGATGCAAGGCTGGTTCAACATATGCAAATCAATAAACGTAATCTATCACATAAACAGATCCAGTGACAAAAACCACATGATTATATCAATAGATGCAGAAAAGGCCTTTGACAAAATTCAATAGCCCTTCCTGCTAAAAACTCTCAATAAACTAGGTATTGATGGAACATATTTCAAAATAATAAGAGCTATTTATGACAAACCCACAGCCAATATCATACTGAATGCGCAAAAACTGGAAGCATTCCCTTTGAAAACTGGCACAAGACAAGGATGCCCTCTCTCTCCACTCCCATTCAACATAGTGTTGGAAGTTCTGGCCAGGGCAGTCAGGCAAGAGAAAGAAATAAAGGGTATTCAATTAGGAAATGAGGAAATCAAATTGTCCCTGTTTGCAGATGACATGATTTTATATTTAGAAAACCCCATCATCTCAGCCCAAAATCTCCTTAAGCTAATAAGCAACTTCAACAAAATATTAGGATACAAAATCAATGTGCAAAAATCACAAGCACTCCTATACACCATTAGGAGACAAACGAAGAGCCAAATCATGAGTGAACTCCCATTCACAATTGCTACAAAGAGAATAAAATACCTAGGAATCCAACTTAAAAGGGATATGAAGGACTTCTTCAAGGAGAACTACAAACCACTGCTCAACGAAATAAAAGAGAACACAAACAAATGGAAGAATATTCCACACTCATGGATAAGAAGAATCAATATCGTGAAAATGGCCATACTGCCCAAAGTAATTTATAAATTCAGTGCCATCCCCATCAAGCTACCAATGACTTTCTTCACAGAATTGGAAAAAACTAAAGTTCATATGGAACCAAAAAGCCTGCATTGCCAAGACAATCCTAAGCAAAAAGAAAAAAGCTGGATGCATCACGCTACCTGACTTCAAACTATACTACAAGGCTACAGTAACCAAAACAGCATGGTACTGGTACCAAAACAGAGATATAGACCAATGGAACAGAACGGAGGCCTCAGAAATAACACCACACATCTACAACCATTTGATCTTTGACAGACCTGACAAAAACAAGCAATGGGGAAAGGATTCACTATTTAATAAATGGTGCTGGGAAAACTGGCTAGCCGTATGTAGAAAGCTGAAACTGGATCCCTTCCTTACACCTTGTACAAAAATTAATTCAAGATGGATTAAAGACTTAAATGTTAGACCTAAAGCCATAAAAACCCTAGAAGAAAACCTAGGCAATACCATTCAGGACATAGGCATGGGCAAGGACTTCAACACCAAAGCAATAGCAACACCAAAAGCAATAGCAACAAAAGCCAAAATAGACAAATGGGATCTAATTAAACTAAAGAGCTTCTGCACAGCAAAAGAAACTACCATCAGAGTGAATAGGCAACCTACAGAATGGGAGAAAATTTTTGCAATCTACCCATCTGACAAAGGGCTAATATCCAGAATCTACAAGGGACTCAAACAAATTTACAAGAAAACAACCCCATCAAAAAGTGGGCAAAGCATATGAACAGACACTTTTCAAAAGAAGACATCTACACAGCCAACAGACACATGAAAAAATGCTCATCATCATTGGTCATCAGAGAAATGCAAGTCAGAACCACCATGAGATACCATCTCACACCAGTTAGAATGGTGATCATTAAAAAGTCAGGAAACAACAGGTGCTGGATAGGATGTGGAGAAATAGGAATGCTTTTACACTGTTGGGAGTGTAAATTGGTTCAACCATTGTGGAAGACTGTGTGGAGATTCCTCAAGGATGTAGAACTAGAAATACCATTTGACCCAGCAATCCCATTACTGGGTATATATCCAAAAGATTATAAATCATACTACTATGAAGAAACATGCACATATATGTTTATTGCAGCACTATTCACAATAGCAAAGACTTGGAACCAACCCAAATGTCCACCAATGATAGACTGGATTAAGAAAATGTGGCACATATACACCATGGAATACTATGCAGCCATAAAAAAGGATGAGTTCATGTCTGTTGCAGGGACATGGATGAAGCTGGAAACCATCATTCTGAGCAGACTATCACAAGGCCAGAAAACCAAACACCGCATGTTCTCACTCATAGGTGGGAATTGAACAATGAGATAACTTGGACACCGTGGGGAACATCACATAGTGGGGCCTGTTGGGCGGTGGGGGGCTAGGGGAAGCATAGCATTAGGAGAAATACCTAATGTGAACGATGAGTTGATGGGTGCAGCAAACCAACATGGCACGTGTATACCTATGTGTCAAACCTGCACGTTGTGCACGTGTACCCTAGAACTTAAAGTATAAAAAAAAACTACAAATAAATTTGATGACTATATGATCTTTAGAAGTAAAAACGTTTTCTAAATGTACTAGCAATAGAAAACGTTTCAGAGGAAAACATTTAAATATTTCTATACATCAAAAGTATCCTAAATGTAAACAAAATACCAGAAGATATATTTGTTAACAATAGGGCAAACAAGAGGTCAATACCTTTAATACGTGGAGTCCAGATCATCTAGAAGATAACACCAAAGATCTCAGTGGCTAAAGAGACAGAACATTAATGTGCAATTACAAAGGAAAAAAATATGATGACCAATAACCATTACAAAATGCCAAATCTCAATAGTGATTAAATCCACTCACATTAAAGTGAGATATGATTTTTCACCTCTTGAATGATAGGACTCAGTGTCTGTGAGGATGAAGTACAACAGTCAACTACTCCAATACAAGACTATTGTAATTCTGCACTGCTCCAGCTTCGTAGAAGGCAGCTTAGCAATTGTGTTTCAAGTCTCAAAAATATTCATATGCTTTAATCCACTAATTTAGCTCTTAGGACTTTCAATCAGGAAATATTTGAAAATGGTCAGTAAAAGTAAGATTTTTTCACATACTTATCACAACATTTATGTATATATTTATATACACACATATATACATAAACATATATATCAACCAAAATATTCTACTTCTCAACCTTCAAACAGTGGAATGTTGTGCGGCGATGAGAAAGTATGGTCATGAAGATTTTTTAAGGCACATAAAAATGCTTATGGTTTATGATAGGTTTAAGGGAAGGATAAAATATGTAAAGTGGTTTTAAATATGCATACAATGCATACATAATCCTGAAGGAATTGTGCCCACATGTAGATAGTAGATAAATTTTTTCCTATTTAATGTTATTTTTGTTAGAAATCTTTGAGTTATGCTTGGCAGAAAATCGGTCTTCAGTCGGTTTAAACAACAGCAAAAGAGGGGGAGGTGGGATTTATTCTTTCCACCTATTTATTCTCTGAAACTGAAAATTCCAGGCCTGAGGTATGGCTCCAGTCAAAGCTAGATAACTGCAGACCAGATATTGTCAAGGGCTGTGTTTTGTTCCTTTCATCCTGTGTCAGCTGGCCTCCTGGGCATGGTGGGTCTGGACACTTCCTTGTGGTAGCAGAATGGCTGAAGCATTTCAGATGTCACATCTTCCAAGCCAAGGGAGGTTTTTTGTTTTTTTGTTTTGTTTTTTGTTTTTTTGAGACAGGTTCTCGCTCTGTCGCCCAGGCTGAAGTGCAATGCGTGGTCTCAGCTCACTGCAACCTCCGCCTCCCGCGTTCAAGTGATTCTCCTGTCTCAGCCTCCCCAGTAGCTGGGATTACAGGCACCTGCCACCACGCCCAGCTAATTTTTGTATTTTTAGTACAGTCGGGGTTTCACCATGTTGGCCAGGCTTGTCTGGAACTCCTGACCTCATGATCTGCCCGCCGCAGCCCCTCAAAGTGCTGGGATTACAGGCGTGAGCCACCGCGCCTGGCCGAGGTCTTTTTTTTAATGGCTTTCTCTATTGATGGGTGAAGCTTCTCTTTCCCATGGGCACTAACAGATGTCTCCTCACTTCTCAGTGGCTGTTACTGAGTTATGTGTCAATCCCTGGATCAGTTGCTGAGTCCGGTGGGATGTTACATGTTTGTCTCAAACCAATCAGGTTGTACCTCTGGAGCACATCAGGGCAATCCCACCTAAACCCCAGGGCTAAAAACAGAGGAGTTCTTTCCCCTGAAGCAAAATCTGGGTTCTCTTCTAGGATGGAGAACAGACCCAGGCTAGCAAAAGCAATCAGTGTTCACTACAAGGTACTTTCAGATTGTCCACAGTGACCTTATACTAAAGTTATGATCAGAAAAGTATTAATGTTAGAATCAGAAATAAGTTATAAACTTGAGGAAAAAGAATAAAAAGCTTCCTGCCCCTATGAAGAAATATTGAAGTATGGGAAGCACCCCAAAGAAATATGGGAACTTAACAAGTTTGTAAAAGCTCTGGGATGAATTAGAATTCATTTCATAAACCACGTGGGAGGCAGTGCCATGGAGAGGTGAGTGTGTCTTCAGAATCTTAGGAGACCCCAATTCTTTTTACTAGTTATCTAATCTTGGACATATTGCTTAATGTCTTTGAGCCTCTCTTTTCTCATCAGTAAAAGAGAGATAATATTATACTACCTTCCTCACAAGCCTGTTATGAGATTAAACAAATATACATGTGCTAAGGTGAACAGAGAGCACTTAAAGAATGTTATCTTTATCATTAATAATAAACATTATGGAGATAATTTTTAAAAACACATAATAAACACCCTGTATGTATTGTGCTAAGAGAGGATGACTTGATTCATCTTTTTAATTTTTCTCAGCCTTATCTAATTTTTACATATACACACAAATCTTACTCATCTCACAAGTGTTGAGACTTAACTGCGAAAGGAAATAGATTACAGGAGAAATGTAATGCCTTCTCTACAAGCAGATTTCTTAAAGAGCAAGAAAAACATCTTTTTTAACACTTAACTTTGGTTGCTATAATCATAGCTAATACTTATTTGGTGCTTTTCATGTATCTGAGCTTAATATTCTGTTTTTACCTGAAGTAACTCATTGAATCCTCAACAACTCCATAGGTTAGGTGCCATAGTATTCCTAATACACAAGAGAAGATATTGAAGCCCCAGTGGAGCTTGTACTCAAATAGAGAAATCTAGCCCCAGGACCATCCTGTAATCACTCCCTTTACTGCTCTCCACAGGTGACAACTGGCCTCTGTTACTATCAACAACAAGATATGGTTTGCTTGGTCCTCAGTTTCCCTTCTCTGAAACTTTTCTGTCATCACGAGCAGTCACACACCTTGAGTGCATGGTTCTGGAGAAAGTAGATGTAGGGGAAACAGTTTAAAGATGCCTCTCCAATAGTGTCTAGTACTGTGTATCAAGTAAGGAAAATTCATGGCGCCTTTAATGTGCGTCGTTGAGTGGTGAGAAATCTGCTTACTGAGAAAGTGAAAATCTCTTACTGGGGATTATGCAGTCAAAAATACAGTGGACTAGTGGCGTGAATCTTGTGGAAATACAAGTACAAATGACTGCCAGTTTAAGGTCGTAAGATCTGAGTGTGAAAAGTGTGTGAAGCTTTTATCAGCAGAGACCTGCTGCCAGTACCAACAGTTAGCTCAGGGCACCTCTGTGCCAGCTTCACTGGCAGTGCTCAGACTCTCCCCTGCTACAGTGATTAAGACAAAAGCTAGCACCTGCTGACACTTCAATTGGTGATAGCTTTTCTGTTGCAAGGAAATGTAGCTCCCTCATGGAGTATGAGTGAGCAAAAAACATTAACTCACAACTTAAATAATTTAGTAATTGTAGAAGGGATGTTTTCTTTGGTTCTACACTCATTTTTTTCCTTCTACCAGAGTATGCTACTAGTTGTTCCATTTTTATGCTGTCTGAAGATACTCTTTTTTAAATAGACTTTTTTTAGAGCAATTTTAGGTTTACAGAAAAATTGCACATAAAATAGTTTCCAGTTCCTTCCCACCACCCCCTGCACCCAGTTTCTCCTCTAGTTAATGTTTTACATATGTGGATGCGCCTTCTTTTCACTTCCATCATTCCTTTTTCTTTTTAAAAAATTTAACATGCCAGACTTTCTACCACCGCTGGTATCACTTATGTGAGATTTACATCACTTTACACACACACCTTGTTAAGTGTGAGTTCAGTTTTTAATAGTACAAGTGCAGTTATTGGTGAGTCTCATGCTACTGTGTTTGTTGTGCTTTCAGATCCTATTGATCATCGCTTCAGTTATTGGGATCATTGTCTATAGGCTCTCGGTGTTCATTGTATTTTCTGCAAAACTTCCCAAGAACATTAATGGAACAGACCCAATCCAGAAATACCTGACTCCACAGACAGCCACGTCCATCACGGCCTCCATCATCAGCTTTATAATTATCATGATTCTGAACACCATATATGAAAAAGTGGCAATTATGATTACTAACTTCGGTAAGGTCCTACTATAGCTTAGGTAACTTCTGACATATTTTTAGAACCTGCCAAAAATAGAGACTGTTATCTTTTAGGCGTTTCAATTCCAGTAGGTTACAATTTTTAGAAATTTTCAAGTGTAAACATATTTTCTCTAGCATGTATGGAAATAAATTATCTACAGCTTTGCATTAGTAAAAGGGACAAAGCAAAGACAATCATCATAACGTCCAAGCTCTCTGTAAACAGATCAGTGCTGAATAATATTTTCAATTACATTAGATCATGTACTCTATTGTTGAAAGTCAATAGTCTCTTTATTGCAAATAAGTGGAATAGGGTCATGGTTCCGGTGGCAAATATGTTCCTCGGTTGCTGAGAGGACAAGCTATCACACTGCTACGTGTCTTCCCTGTGCTGTGCTGTTCATATTAATATAATTCTCATCAGCCCTTGATTTTTTAATGTGTTTCTTCTCTCTGGCTTGTATCCCAGGCAGCTGTTTAGTGGCCAAGTTAAGTGCTTCCCACACTGCATACGTCTGAGTCGTTCCCTGAATGGCCTGCTCGGTGATCATCTAAAATGATCAAACTGATGCAAACTCCACACTAGGAGGATGACCTATTTTGTTTTTCCCAAATGCCTCTAGCAAGTTGTACCTTGGTTTGCTTGTTTTCTTCAATAGACCTACCTTATCGCAATTCAGGAAAACAAGAGAATATCATTTAGCAGGCAGTTCAAAAATAATTTTCTGTCAATTATACCCATGGCAGTTCTTATTTGATAACACTGGACTTGTAAATTTTAAGGAACAGTTGATTTTTTTGTGGGGCAGGGGGGAACATGTGGGCTATTGTATTCCTACTGTGAGGGAGAACTCATAACAATGTGCAAACTTGGAATTAACACAGTGGCTATATTAAGGAATTCAAAACAGCTTAAATGGAAACAGTGTGAATTGTATTTTTTTAACGTGTTTAACGTGTTAACTCATGTATCAGTATTTTTTATTAGAGTCTCAAAGCTGTTCACAATTTTAAAATCTTATTTCTCTTTCTTTTAACTACAGAACTCCCAAGGACCCAGACTGATTATGAGAACAGCCTCACCATGAAGATGTTCTTATTCCAGTTTGTCAACTACTACTCTTCATGCTTCTACATAGCATTCTTTAAGGGCAAATTTGTAGGCTATCCAGGAGACCCAGTTTATTGGTTGGGAAAATACAGAAATGAAGAGGTATGAATATATAATTGTATTATCTTGCCAGTTTAAGCTGAGTTTTCTCTCAGTTGCCCAAATGAATAGTTTTTTATTGTAAATTCCTTAGATTTATTTTTTAGCCTAAACAGAACAAATGTCAGAAAAATAGAATGCCTATATTTCAAGTTAGATCCATTGAATATTTAAATGGTATTTTCTTTTTAACCTTCTAGTGTGACCCAGGTGGCTGTCTTCTTGAACTGACAACTCAGCTGACAATAATCATGGGAGGAAAAGCAATCTGGAATAACATACAAGAAGTATTATTGCCGTGAGTGTTAAATTGTATAGCCATGGGTAAAAGGACAAGGGATAGAACAGCCCATCCACACAAATCATTTGCCTACATAGCCACATAGCCACATAGCTGCATGTCCACCTCTAAATGGATCAGAATCTGTTGTCATTAAAGGTCTCCAGACAACATAGTCCAACCAACAATGCAAATGTATCCAGGATCTAATAATTGTATTTTAAAACCTTCATTATATTTAATGTAAATCCCCATCTGCTAGAGTTTATACCTACTGGGCTATTGTTGGTGACTGACTAATCACAACCCTTTGAGCGACAGCACTGGTTAGAGCTGTGAACTGTGTATTTCCACAATTTCTTATATCCTCATATCCTTCTCCTCTCTTTCCTATATATTATGCATTTAAAAGTCAGTATGAATTCCAGTCACTATATTAAGTGCTATATATATATATACATCATTTAATCTACCAAACTATCCTTATTTTTATCTCCTTTTTACTAATGAAGATCTGTGGTTTAAAGAGGTTAAATGATTTACCCAGTTTCACATTAGCATTAAGAGACTACTGTAGGATTCAAATCCAGGATCCCATGAGTACAAACTTTTAAGAATAGAGGTTCTTTCATGATCCTAAGGCACTAGGATATATAATGTTTTAAGAAATAATTGTCTAAAATAATAATCACAAAGGCTTTGACTTACTGTTGTTTTCCTAAAAAATGAGAACAACAGAATAGTTGTACTTCAAATGTTAACTAAGATTTCATTGCCCTTTACAATTTTCACTTAGGCCCCCTCCACTATCAAAGTGTAAAGTCCAACACCATCTGCAATTTCTGCAAATTTCAGGGAGCTTTTTGTTTGGGTTTTCTATTGCTGCTATAACAAATTACCCCAAGATTAATGGGATAAAAATAACATGTAATATTTTATGGTCCCGGGGGTCAGAAGTCTCACTGGACTAAAATCAAGGTGTTAGTGGGGCTGTGTTCATTTCCAAGGGCTCTGGGGTGAATCTCTTTGCCTTTCCTAGCTTCTGGAGGCCACCATCTATGCTCCCTGCCTTGTAACCTCTTCTCCATCTTAAAGCCAGCAAAGTTTCGTGTTTGTGACTATCTTCTGTAGTCACCTCTCCCGCCTTCTGTCTTCTTCCCCCTGTCCTCCTCCTCTCATCTCCCCCACCACCTCTTCCCTTGTTTAGAAATAAAAAACCTCTACCTTTATAAAAAGTCTTTTATCCCACTATATAGCTGGGAATTTTTTAAAATTTATCACCCTTCTTTACAGGCTCTCGCCTCCTGCCATGTTGCCCTCTTGCCTCCATCACATACAACTTCTCTCTCCTTTCTTCTCCTACTCCTGGCTTTTTTCTCCCCAGTCACCAAGTTTCTGTTCATTCTCTTTATTGAGCAGTTAACTCACTCCGGGTTTCAGTGCCTCCTTCCAGATTTCTTTAACAGGTCTTATTCTCCATCTTCAATGGAAACTGTCAGGGTCTTTCTCTAAACAAAGATCTCTCTCCTTCCTCTTCCCCCACCCAGAAAGGGATTCTGGCTTTAGCTGTGAAATTCTTTTTTTTTTTTTATCCTACTCCGGAGAAAACAACCCTCACTTTCATTGAGCTCATATTCAGATTTTTCCAGATAAGTAAAAGTAGGTCATGCATAAATAGTACTGTGTTTCTAGATGAAAACAAATATATAAAATTGAGGAAAGTCTTAATCCATTCTGAGATTAAAAAGGGTTTTCTGAAAAAAGTAGGTTAATTATTTAACACTATGTTTCGGTAACATTGGTTTTTAGCAGCTATTTCCTAAACTGGAATTGAGAAATTCATATGAAATGAAATTTGTTCACATGAAATATTTTAAAGGATGAATTATACTATCCGTGGTTTATACTTTCACTTCAAGTAAGCTCATTGTTGAAAATTACAGTGATATGAACTTTGCCTTCAAATTTCTCCCCCTATGTTTTCTTGTTTGAAAACTGAGAATGCTGAGTGTTAGCCAAATTAGAGAGTGACTGGTGCTGCTTCTCTTTGTGTAGGTGCCAGTTTTCTTAACTTTTTTATACAAAGTCCTAATTTATCAAAGATATATCAGCCAGGTGCTGTGGTTCACACTGGTAATCCCAGCACTTTGGGAGGCCAAGGTGGTCAGATCACCTGAGGTCGGGAGTTCGAGACCAGCCTGACCAACATGGAGAAACCCCATCTCTACTGAAAATACAAAATTAGCCAGACATTTGGTGCATGCCTGTAATCCCAGCTACTCAGGAGGCTGAGGCAGGAGAATTGCTTGAACCTGGAGGCGGAGGTTGCAGTGAGCCGAGATCGCACCATTGCACTCCAGCCTAGGCAACAAGAGCGAAACTCCATCTCGAAGAAAAAAAAAAGATATATCAGTTATCCTTTCTATCCAAAACTATACCCACCCCCCAAAAATAGATAGAGAAAAGCCTTATAAGTCAGCAGTTGTTTTCACATCGTGTAAGTGTGTCAAGAGAAACATGGAGAAATGTTTCACCACACATGTACCCTCCTCTTCCTTCCTTCCTCTCCCGCCTTTGGGCCCATACCCCTTGACTAGGATTCTTGCAACAAGGAAAGGAGCATATCTGGCTCAGGGATCCAGGTTCCTTTTGGGGCCTCCCCAGTACCTGGCATATGACAGGGACTCAGTATGAAGCAGCTGAGTGAATGAATAAGTGCCTTGTATGCTTCAGATACATCACATCAGTAAATTACAGAGTTGTCAGTGAGACCCGGAGAGCAAGCTCAGAGCCCTTTGGCCTTCCCAGCTCCACCTTAGTGTTTTGATATTTAAGGTATTCCTGGGGATTTTATTCTGTTCTTAATAAAAGGCTAGTATAATTCCTGTGTTAACTCACTCTGGAGAAATTTTTATAACAAAATGTCAGAGATAATAGAATTAAGGATCCAAAATGTCTGTAGTATCAATTGTTTGGTATTTAGTAGATAGCTATAATTTTCCTTTATATACATTTATACATGTATATTGTAACATAAACGCCTCTTCTTATATAAATAAGTATACTTATTTATATAATAAGAAAAAAGAACTGTTTTAGGAGAAAATGTCCCTTCTCAGGATAGGATTTGGAGAGAAGATGAGCTATAGGCAATCAGAGTCCTAAATATAGGTGTCCCTCACTATCCACACTTACTCTCTAGGTTCAGAAACAGTAAACTGACACATAAAATAGATTCAGATAGTGAAGGATGCTTGTATTTCAAAATTAGCAAGTGGGAATACTGTAGAACGTCCTAAACAGAAATGATGATCATCTCCATTATGTGGATTAAATGTGATAATGGAGTTGAAGAGGAAGTGAGATGTAAAGTGCTTCTCACCATGTTTTGTACAAAATAAGGACCTAGTAAAGCATAACTTATGATGTGGCTATGACAATACACATGGTAAATTCCTATGGAAATTATTTTGTAACCCCTGCTTCTAGCCTTGGCCAGGGAAAACGTATCTGGTGTGTATATTTTTCTAAAAGTTCTGTGGGTGATTCTCATGTGAAGTCAAGATTGAGCTCCCTGCACTAGAAACACAGACCAATAGAAAACCCAAACATGAGTGGTTCAACTCAGGAAAACCAAACAAGAGGCTCAGCATCTGTAACTCAGAAATGAAAGCTAGTAAGAAAGACTTCTAAGATGACCTGATATGAGACGGAAGCGCCAGCTGACACAAGTAGTTGCCAGGACAGAAGTTTCATCCTGAATCTGAGCTTTGATGTGATTTAGAGCCCAGACAGAAAAAGACCTGCTTCTCTGAGGGCATGGAAAGGATTCAGCAAGAGGCGGAGGCTAGAAGTTTGGGAGGCAAAGCAAAGTATAAACAAATAGAAACCACACCCAGTGACCTTAGAGTTCGGTGTCATGAAGGGTGATGGACATGTGTGGTCCTTGGTGCTACCTGAGTCACCCCCCCCCCCCCCCCCGGAATGACTGCAAAACTGCAGATTCTGGAGCTTATCTCAGACCTTTTAGTTGGGAGCACAGGAAGCTGCACTACTCACAAGCATTCCATGTCATGCTTGTATGTGCTGAAGTGGGAACCACTGATCCAGGTGGCCTGGATAACTGAGCCAAGAGTCTACGTAATATAGGCCATATTTACACTTGGCCTCAGCCAGTGCAGCCTGTATTGCTCAACAGAAAATCCCATTCAGCAGGTTTTGATGTGTTAGGAAACGTGCTACATCCGTTACCTATTTTGAATCATTTAATCCTGACAGCAGCCCTGGGCAATGTAGGTTTTATCACCCCGTTTTATTTTTTTACCAAAGTTAACCAGCTAAGAAATAGAGTGTGGATTCAGATTCAGGGGTGTCTGAACTCATATCCCATCCACTTTCCACAGCCTCCTGCTGCCTCTCTAACATCATCAAAAAGAAAGAAGTGGGGAAAGATTGTGAGGTCAGAGACGTCTCCTGTAGTAGAGATAATTTCCCCTGAGTAAAGCTTCAGTAGCAGTCAGTGAAAAGTGAGCCCTGAGATCAATAGCAGTGGGAAACCCAGCAGAGTGAGCCGTTTGTACTGCCTGTCTTATGCTGGCTGGGTGTGCACGTGTGCACATGTGATGGAGAGGATGAGGGTCTGCCTGGTTTTCTTGCAATAACTGTCCTTAACCATCATGCGATGCCTTCTCATTGTCAGAGTTTGAAGTCCACACCCACATGTTTAATCAGCCAGTGTATCCAGATGTTAGATCTGTATTTGGAGTTGTTGTTATGCCTCTTCTGATGACTCCACAGGTAAACCACAAGCTGGCAGTTGCTTGAGGGGACAACAGTTCTCTATGCCACAGGTGCACACCTCATTTTACTGCCAACTCAGATTTCTTTTCCAGACAAATTGCCATAAAAAGGGGGGAAGCACTTAGCCACAAGGATTCTGAGATAGGGAAAAAAACATGACATAAAAAAGAGACAGTGGGTAGCTCAGCGGGGCAGTATCCACGGGTGGACAGAGCGCTGGGACGCAGTCCAGGCTGTTTTCTCCTAGCTCTGCACTATGACCTGGAGGAGGCGTTTCACTCCTCTGGTCCTTAAATGATTCAGCTTAAAATAGGAATTGGACCTATTTTATCTAAAGTCAGATTATGTCACTTTCCTACTTGGTGCCCTCCAATGGCTCCTCATTTCCCTCCGAGGAAAAAAATGCCCAGATCCTGACAGTGGTCTCTTATTCCTACCCTGCGTGCTGTCTGTGAACCATGGAGACCTGCTCCTGCCTCAGGGTCTCTGTCATCACCGTTCCCTCTGCCTGGGACTTCTTCCCCCAGGTTTCCCACTCCTTTGTCTCCTTCACATCCTTATTCAACATCATTCTGAAGGAGACCTTCACTGGCCACCTCCCTAGACACAAATGCAAGCACTCCCTGCCCTGCTTAGTTTTCTCCACAGCACTTACCACCAGCTCACATACTCTACCTTGTTTTCTCTGTTGATTTTCATACTGGCAAGACTATTTTGAATGATAAGGGGGAAATGAAAAAACAAACAACTGAAGTTAATCAAATAAAGGAACATGCCTTTTAAAAATTAAGCTGCCCATAGGGAAAAAGTAGGAGAAAAAAATAGTAGCAGCTGCAGCTTTGGTAAACCCTGGTGTGTAGTCCTATTTTTCAAAATATTTTGGAATAAGGAGGCAGAAATAAAAACAAATTTAGCATGCAAACAAAAAAATAGTTTATTGGGAAGATTACTTGTGCAGCTTTGAGATAGCAGCAAAATATTTTTATGACCTTGGCCTGATAATATTCGTTCTAATTTATAAATTGTTCTTTTTGGCAGCTGGATCATGAATCTAATTGGGCGATTTCACAGAGTTTCTGGATCAGAAAAGATAACCCCACGATGGGAACAGGACTACCATCTGCAGCCTATGGGCAAACTGGGATTATTTTATGAATATCTTGAAATGAGTAAGTTGTTAGTGAAGTTTTTAGTGATATAAAACATGTTAGAGTATGTTGTGGATACCAAAAGCATCTGTTATTGAGCCATATTAACATTTAGCATATTGAAATGAAGAAGAGTATGTTTTTCTCCACTAGATAAAATTATACAATCCAGCTTTCAGATAAGGTGGTCATGTATGTCTTTGTCAATATTTATGTTGTAAAAAGCTAGAAATTTATTACTGGGCAATGAAATGGAATATTCATTGAGGTACATCTTTACCATTAATTCTTTTTGTTTGTTTTTTTTGAGACAGAGTCTCACTCTGTAGCCCAGGCTGGAGTGTGGTGGTACAATCGTGGCTCACTGCAACCTCCACCTCCCAGGTTCAAGCAATTCTCCTGCCTCAGCCTCCTGAGTAGCCGGGATTACAGGCATGCGCCACCACACCCAGCTTATTTTTGGACTTTTAGTACTGACAGGGTTTCACCATGTTGTCCAGGCTAGTCTCAAACTCCTGGGCTCAAATGATCCACCCACCTTAGCCTTCCAAAGTGCTGGGATTACACGCATAAGCCACTGGGCCCGGCCATCTTTACCACGAATTCTTAAAGCATTCTAATCATGTTGTCTGAGAATGAACTCAGCAACTGTAATTAGATGTGATTCAGCTTGGCCTGGAGTCCGTGCAGGCACAGCTGTTGGCCGATACAGTTCTGAACTGAGTCAGTTAAGCAAGCCTGCAGGAGCATGCAGCTTCGTGGCAGGAATGGTCCCGGGATGCCCACTTTCACATCTCATGCCTGCCTTTGACAGCCTATTTCTTCTGGCCAGTGGTTTCTGCCTGGTTCCTTGAGTGACTTCATGGCTCATAACTGGCCTGAATTTGGAACCATTGTGCTGGTCTGGAATTAAGATTTAGCACAGGTCCTCTCTTTCCTAAATGCCTTGGTCCATTTTTATATTATTTGCTTGGACTCTTAATTCTTTTCAGTAGAACTTGATTTTGACCTCTCAGTTGCCTTTAAACGGAAGCATCTCAAAATAGATTTCCATAGGAAACACCACCTTTTGTATTATGCATGACACGCTTATATCTAATAGATGGCTAACAATTTACATGGTTTTTATCTGTGCCCTTTCAGCTAACCATTGCATTCAATTACAGTTTTTTTTAAGCTTAGGAGAATAGAAAAAGAAACACATCATTTTTGTTGACAGGCTTTGCATTTATGCACAGGGCTTTGCATGTTGGCAAAGACACCCCTTTGTGGTTCCTGTTTACAAGTCTGCAGTTAGAAGGTGGTTTTTATTAAATCACATTCTATATATAAAATAATTGCTTTTAAAAATATACATTATACATGGAAACACATCTGCTTCCTTCAATGAGTAAAAGGTTCATCTTGTGGCTTCTTTAGTCAACAGTACTTTGCAGCAGCCTGGAGCCTGTTTTGAATTTCATTTTTGCTTTGTTATGTTTTGTGACCAGGTTTTATTAAGGGTGTAGCTGCAGTACATATGTAGAAGCTGTCCTTAGTTAGTTATTATTCTGCTGATTTTCAGAAGGACTGTAAGACAATTACCTGTTGTTCAAAAATGAGTCATAATTGTAAATATTTCTTATTGGAACTATTAACAGCATTTTTAAAAATCCTGGGGCAGAATGTCATTTATTATTTTTAAAAAGTTATTTTTCTGTAGTTGATTAGTCAAATAAATGACATCAGAAGGGAAAGTTATATGGTCATGTGCTTTGGGGAGAAGTTGATAGGACTTTTAGAGTTTCATAGGCTCTTTAAAATAGTTATCAACCAAATAATTCTGCCTCATCCTGCCCTACAAGAAAGTATAGAATAACAGCTGTTATAGACAGATTTTTAGGTTTATTAGGTTGTTTTCCTGTTATCTAAATAGTATCTAATGACTTAGAAAACTTGATTTCTGAATTTCTGGGAGTAGGCAGTCTGTCACTGTGTGGGCAACAGGAGAGTGAAATCTGTGTTTTGTCCTTCTAGTCTGTGAGAGACATAATTTCCAAGTGCCTTTTGAATTGTTTTCATTTCCCTAGAAATAAACATTGAGTGCCTTTGGTATTGGTCTCACCACCACACAGTCCCCTCCTTCCCATTTCCCCATATTCCTTAACAACACCACCATCTACCTTTTAAATTGTGGCTCTAACTGCTTAAGGGAAACATCTTCCGGAAAGCAAGCCTCCAGGCTTGCTTGGCCTTGCACCCAGGCTCAACTCTCTTTCCTTCTTTCCTACCTGACAAGTCCTGCTGAGCCTCAGCTGGGCCCCTGAACTTTTCAGACAGCTTTGCTGCTCTTTTCTTCTAGGTGTTAGCAGCACCTGCTGCCTGCCGTGGTGGTATACGCTCTGTGCCTGCCTCTCTCCCCATTGCACCGAGCCCGATGGAGGCAGCTACTGCGTCCTCTGCTAGAGCGCCAGTGCCTGGAACCTTATACTCATAAACATTTAAGCAACTTGAACTTGGAGCTCCAACACACATATAAAACTGTTAGTTGATTTCACATTAACATCCTTCACCCACTTCTCACCAAGTTCTGTATGACCTGTTTGAGTGAAACGTTTTTTATTTAGTGAATTTCCCACCATCCTTTGAGATTATTGGAGTAACTCTGAGCTGTTAACCCAAATTGCTTCTCTAAGAGTGTTCCTGACTCCAAGTACACAGACACAGAACATAATAAACGTAGTTGTCTGTATTCAAACCTGGAAGCCATAAATACTGTTTTGTACTCAGTAATGTACTGCAGACACAGGTGTCCTGAGAACTTGATGAGGCCTTCCTGGTGGGCAAGTGCCATAAACAGAGTGCACTGAAGTGATGAGTGGGCCCTGTTTGTCTCTGGCACTGCCTCTTCCACCCTTGCCGTGGTACCTTGATCTCACTTTCATCTGTCTCCAAGTTAATTTTTTAAAATCTGCTAAAACAATGACCTTCATATATGATTTTCTCCATGTAATGAAGATCAGCTATTCTTCAGCAGCTCCTCGTACCCCTTTCTTTTTCTTCCTCCTATGCTGAACCCACCGATGCCTCTGCTGCACTCTCCAGGACTCAGGCCTTCTTCCCTTCATGCTCTCATCTCTGCTTGGTTCGAGCCCATCACCTGCCATGAAGTCTCCTAACCTTTGCAGGATGAGCTTTCCAAAAGGGCAACTAGGTAATTGGGAGGATTTGCAGTCCTCCAGCTCTTCATTTGTTCATTCATTCATTCACTCATTCATCCATTAAACATTTATTAAGCACTTGCTGTGCCAAACACTCTCAGTTGCTGGGGATACCAGGGCACTTGGTCCCTCCCCTCACGGAGCTCAGCGCTTGGTGCATGGTTAAGGAGAATGCTAATCAGACTTCCTTGAGCAGGTGATATTTGAACTGGATTTTGAAGGGTGAATGGAAGTTAGTTATCTAAAGTATGGTGAAGAGAATGGACATTTTGTGTGGAGAGGTGGACATATTTAAAAGTACAATAGCTTGATCAAAGAATGGCAAGTGAACAAAGGACTCACAGGTGGGAATATCAGGTAGGCAGGGGCCATATCATGATGGGTCTGGTGTGCTTAGCCTGAGGACTTGAACTTTATTCTTAAAGAAATTAGGATCCACTGGAATATTTGTAAACAAGATAACTGCATAACATTTATGTGGAATAAGATCAATCACGCAGCAGAATGGAAGATAATATTTTGGATGAGATTCGTGGTGGGAGGGAGATGATTTAGGAGGCTACAGCAGGTAACCCAGACAACAAGTGATAGGTGCCTAAATAGTGGGCATAGGAGTAGAGAGAGGGAGATGGATTTGGTAAGTGTTAAAGCGGTGAATTGCATAGCAGATGAGGAATAAAATTAAGATAACTTCCAGGAGACCATATATGCAGGGCAGAACATAAGGAGAGGAGCTGTTCTCTAGGAAATGCCTAAGTGTTGGATATTTTTAGCATGAAAACATCTGAAAGGCAATGTCCATTAGAAAGTTGGACACAACAGTCAGGAGCTCAGAGGAGCCATGGGTGAGGCCACGAGGGTGAATCAGGCATGCCTAGCAGGAATATCAAGAGAGATGGACAGAGAATTGATGATGAGGCCCGGGGGTAAAGGGACATTTGAAGAGTGAAGAGTGAGGGAGGCTCACAAAGAAAAAGAAGAGCAGAGCAGTGGGAAGAAGTCTAGCAGAGTTGTGTCAACACAGAGAAGGCTTGGGAGATGATAACGTTGCTTCAGAGGAATTTGGACATGATGGAAAAGGGGCATAATGGGAAATACAGAGGGGGAAGAAAGGAAGAGCCAGCACCTACACAAGTCCTAATTGCTAGACCTGGGTTGGGAAGTGGAAGCAGTGCTATAGCTAGGTAGGGCTTTTTTAGTTTTTTTGTTTTTCAATATATATTTTGACTTTTTAAAACTAAGTAAAAAAGAAATCAAGGGGAAACAAATATTCCACAGCAGGGGGACTGTTTGACCATGTCACATAAATCTTGGCCGTACATTTCTTATGGCCATGTTACAAGAAATCACAAAAATCAGGACTGAAAAGGAACATCAGCTTATGAACATGCAGCCACTGGCAAAGTTAGCAAGAGTAGGTCCAGTGCAGTGGTGAGGGTCTCAGCAGGATGCGGGGCTTCAGGGAGTAGTTACTCTACCACTTGTTGTGAAGGTGGACACTTCCTTCAGAAAACTCAACTGTAACATGTAGAAGCAAGCAGAGAAAGCATTAGAGAGCAGTATAGGATTATGAAAAAGTTGCAGGCAAGGGTTGTTTTTTTTTCAGTGGGTGTTTTGCGTTGACTTTTTGTTGTTGTTATTCTTGGTTTCAAAAGTTGCTTATAAAATTTTTCTCACTTGAATATCAGAACAAATTATATGGGCTTTTTCTGGTGTTTTATTTTTAATATAATATTTTTAATCCATCTGGAATTTATTTTGGTGTCAGAAGTGATGGCCCCATACCAATTTTTCCCATGACTTAGCTAGCTGTGTCAATACTTGCATCCACTGCTTCAAAGTATCACTTTATAATATATAAAAACCCATGAATATTTGCATCTCCTCTTAAAATTCACCCTGGTTAATTCATACTATCTATTCATATACTAGTTCTAAACTGTTTCAATTACCATAGCATTATAATACACTCAATATCTCCCAGAGCTATCCCATTTTATTTTTTCACAATGTTCCCAATACTGTCTATGCAAACATCCCTGTTCATTATTTTACCTGTTTATATTTCTTGAAGAACTTTAGTATCACTTTTCAGCTTTTCTTTTCTTTCTTTGAAAGACAGGGTCTCGCCCTGTTGCCCAGGCTGGAGTGCAGTGGCACAATCCCGGCTCACTGCAACCTCCGCCTCCTCATCTAAAGCAATCCTCCCACCTCATCCTCCTGGGTAGCTGAGACTACAGGCTCGTACCACCATGCCCAGCTAATTTTTGTATTTTTTGTAGAGACAGGGTATGTTGCCTAGGCTGGTCTCAAACTCCTGGGCTCAAATAATCCTCCCGCCTCAGCCTCCCAAAGTGCTGGGATTACAGAGATTAGCTGCCATGCCTGGCTGACCTGTCAGCTTTTTTTTCTTAAATCCATTTGGGATTACTAACAGAATTTACATTAGAATTCTAAATTATTTTGTGGAAAAAAAATTTGATATGTCCCTGAATTCAAGTTTGCCCAATCAAGAGTTTGGCACATCCTACCACTCATTCATTCATCATTATTTGTTTTTTCTTAAGTCAATTATCATAGTGGTCTTAGTTTTCTCATTAATTTATTTCTAAATAGTTTATGCTTTTGTTGTCATTATAAATGGTATCTTTTCTCTTTTGGATTTTTAACAAGGTTTACTGATAACATAATCCTAATCTCTGGCTTCTCTTGAACAATCAGGAGATCTGGCAACATGGAGCCCTCATTCCAACATGGCAACTATGAGCTGTCCCTTTCCATAGGACACACGCTTGCTAGTTTACCACAGTTGACGGGCTGACTCCACACATGGCTATTACTTGCATGCCCTGCGGGCTGATGAGTTATTTAGGGTTGGGTGAGTCATAGGGAAGTTGACATCACTGCTTATTGCTGCTGCTCATGACTCTGTAGCATCACCAACTCTGGTCCTTGCCTGGCTGACTTCTCTGCATGAGTGTTCCTGCCTGGCCTGTGGGACTTACTGGATCCTTCTAGCCCTGTCTGCTCTTCTGCAACATGCCCTTTGGCTCTCTGACCAGAAGCAAATGCCAGCTCTGCTTGCCTCGCCACACCCTCCACAGCCTTGCCCTTCCTGACAGAGTCATCCCTGCCCCTTGTCTGAGCATGAGGCCTAATGGAACTCTATGTTTTCCTCCCATCCACAGTTTTAGTTACATATCTGTAGATGTTTCCTCTGAAGGTCTGCCAGTTAGGAGGGCAGGGTCTAAAACTTGAGGATATTTTCTTACTTCTTCCTCTCCGTGGTATCACTTACCCCAAAATCTCTGCTGCCCCATTTTTAATAAGGCCGTGTCAATTACAAACAAGGAGAAAAGAACTTCTAAGCCACCACTCAAATTTTGACTTATTATGACCACAAGGACTGCAACTAACTTCAAGATTCTTAAGGAAGGATATTATAATTTATTAAGACACTTTTATCACATATATTTCTGTGATTTCTATTACTGTCAAATTCTCTGAATGCACTGCATTTGCATTTGCAGACTCAGGGGAGCTCACTCATTTGCTTGTTCTCAGCATATTTCTTCTAACGTTCTCTAAGTATAGCCTTCCCATGGGTCCATTTCTTTTTGTCTTTAACTTGTTAGATAATGCCACAATATTTCTTTTTTCTTAAAAAAAAAATCCTAAACCACAAATCTTCTTTCAACATTCTATTTCAACACTGAGAATGAATAATATGCTTATGATGTCTCAAGTTTATTACCAGCGAATAATTCTGGTTGACTAAAGATGTCTAAATATATTGTTCCTATTAAGTGTATACATGTGAAAGAAACAGGCTATAATTAATCTTCTTTCCAGAGATTTTATATTTGTGTTTTGTTTGAATTCTTTCACTGTTGAACACTAAATTATTATTTACCACAGATGTGTTTTCTCTCTGGGATTTAGTTCGTTTGCCTTTCTCTTTCAAGAGTAAAGGAAAATATGTTGTCCTTCCATCCACCACCACTCCATGATGTGTGTCCATTCCATTGACAGTTATTCAGTTTGGGTTCGTCACCTTATTTGTGGCCTCTTTTCCACTGGCCCCTCTGTTGGCTCTCGTGAACAATATATTGGAAATAAGAGTGGACGCATGGAAACTGACCACCCAGTTTAGACGCCTGGTACCAGAGAAAGCCCAAGACATTGGAGCATGGCAGCCCATCATGCAAGGAATAGCAATTCTGGCTGTGGTGACCAATGTGAGTAGACCTAAGCTTTACAGAGTAAAGACCTTGAAGATGCATTAGATTTGCTACCTAAGGAATCAAATGTTTAGTGTTTTTTAAAATGAGAGGAAGATGCTAAGTCTGTCATCCACATAAATGATATAGTTGCTATATATAACCACTTGTTAAATGTATTTTCATTTTGTATATAATTATTTTTAACTGTCAAGACCTCCTATACAGGTACTGTTATTGCTCATTTGCTAAAGTTTTTATTCAGTATGAAATATGGTAATGATAAGAAGTACTAACACTTTTAATCCTCACATAACTATAAAAGGAGTTATCAGAAAATGTTTTTTTTATAATGTGGGTAGAAATCTGTTCATTTAGAGTTTGAGGGCCCTAAAATAAGATCATTCTACCATATTTTACTACTACATATTCCAAAGCATCACCCTAAAATATTGACTCTGATGGTGAAGTATAAACACTTTGTGCACTCCTAATTACCTTCCTTGACTCCAGAGCAGCAGCTCTTAAAGGAGGAAGGTGGGTGGGTTTCATCACCCTTCCCACCCCACCCTTAGGTCTTTGCTCACCATGCTTTGGTCATTGGCTGAAGCAGCCTCATGCCCTGTATGTATCCCAGCTGTGAGGGGACAGAACTCAGTTGTTTACAGCCTGTATTCATTGATTATGGGCCATCTGAACAGTGTCATTTTTATGTACAGGCACACAGGAAGTTCTCAGGCAATGCAATTTTCATGCCAGCCCATTAGAGGACCACCTTCCCAAGAAGTATCCCAAAACTAGGGCCATTTCCTCCCATATTTCACTGACAGTCTCACTCCCAGGTGAACCTCCCTAACAAAGTGATTCCCCAGTTTTGTTTTCTTAAGCCACATCTTCCCTGAGTCCCCAGCCAAAACAACAGAAGTTGGCAGTGCCTGTAGTTTAGGCTCTGGATGAGGGAAGTTACTGAGCACTGTAGGCTCTAGAGTCAGGTAGACCCGAACTCCACTTCCCAGCACTGTAGCTCTGAGCTGCATGATCTTGAGCCAGGCCTTACCACTCCAGAGCCCTATTTTATTATTTGTAAAATTATTAATTCCCTACCACATATCATAAGAATAGTACATACCAACCACAGTGTTAGGGAATTCATTGAGTTAATGCATGAAGCCTCGTTTCTATTGAATGTTAGCTGCTGTTATTTTATCATCTTCATTACTCATCATTGTTATTAACAGTAACGCTGTGAGGACTCTGACAGGTACCCCAATTGGAGGCACAGGAATTCCAAAAGCAACCACTGTCTGGACAATGGTTACAGTTTTATACAATAAAACAAGTTATCTGGAACCTAGCTGTCATCCCTACCCCAGAACCGTACATTTATCTGAATTGCATGCTATCTGTACTATTTGGAGAAAGTTGCAAATCGCACACAAAAACCAACTACTGGGGTATGTCAGTTTCCTTTCACCCAGGTACCCCACACCTTCAACATCTACTGTGCTGCAAAATGAAGACTGCTGTTTAGAAAAATGGCAGTGAGGCCTTTCAAGTTCCTCAGTCATAAAACAATGAACATGACAGCACGTTCAATATGCTCTAGTACACTAAGCTGGACAAGAACATGGACTTGTGTGCTTTAAGAAAATTTTCAGCAACAAAGTTTGAAACTAAAAGGGTTTTTATTTTACCTTCAACTAACCAGAAAATTCAGTTGACTCAAACTCTCCCTATTCCTCAAGCATTCTAGATTGATTGTATTAGGTACCTTTTCCCAGCATCCATGCCATGGCTCTACTCCATGAGCACAGATGGAGGATTGGCTGTTTCCAAGGCGACTCAGTGTGTGTATGTGTACAGACATTCACTCTGGCTAATTGGTGCTATTGGTTCTTATCCAATAATGGCTTTTTCTTATCACTTAACCTAGGAAAACTGCTTATTAGATTTGTGACATTGATTAAACTATGGGCAATCCCTTTTTCCATATTAGGATTTGTTATACTTCCAAGATGGCAGTTATACATCCACATACATAGACATCTATGTTTATATGTGTGCTTGTGCAAGCATTAAATGTGTGTCTTATTCCCTCAAACACCCAGTGTGTATCTCACAACCTACTGTCTACAAAAAGAGAATAACCACCAGGATGAGAGTGGGCATCAAGCAGGAATTTGGTATAAAATCATTCATTTTAAAGCTGCTGGTTCAATAAATAAGCTGAATTGACATTGTTGTATCATGCCAGAGCATCTGTTATTGAAGACCAATTTTAATTTATTTTTATATAAATGGAAAACTGTGTGCAGAACAGCATGGGAAATGAAACACACTGCATTTATTTGTGCTCTTGCAGCATGTCTCTCAGAGCAGCTCAATTCAGGAAGAAAAGTATCTTGTCAGAAGACAATAGAATTATCTTCCTTGTTGGAATTTTTTGTAGCTTCTGATGCACATCTGCCAGTGATTCTATAAAAAGATATAGTTGAGTTAAATGATAATAGCAAAATTTAATCTATTGAAATCTGAGGGAAAAAAGGTAAAATATTCGTGTGGCTCCCCAGTACTGACAGGCAGAAACACACTCATATGTATATGTACATTTTTCACATCAGAGGAAATGACAAAGCTGGTTCTAGTGAGGGAAATTTTGTAATAGAAAAGCCCCCTAATTGTTTTTTCTTGCTTTGCCTGAGATTTGGTTTGTGGTCTCACTATGCCTAAACCATATGTTCAGATGAATACTATTAAAAATCATGTTAAGCCAAAAACATGTCTACTTTTCTGCTTCATCAATGACAATCATTTAGCTGTTTTATTCACATAGAATTTGGTTTAAAGTAAAAATCCTTTCTCCTTCCTTCCAACCAGTTTTACACACTGGAGAGTTTAAAGCCCAAATTAAAGAATTTTAGAGAAAATTCATATAATTCAGAATAGCTTTACCTCCTAATAGATGTCTCTCTGATACACAGGTTTATGATTGGCCCATATTTACTCCTTTTATCTAGGAACATACTAAATTTTCTGTATGTTGTTGTTCAACTTATAATTTTCATAACTTCATCCACTTAATCTTTTTGAAGTTTAGAGACTTAGATACTAGATCAGACTAAACAGACATTATTGTTTGACTATGAATGGGACAACCCCAATATAATTCTACTACCCAAATTTTGTTAAAATTAATAAATGCTCACACTCTATAATGAAGCAACAAACATAACCATGTACTGAGAGTTTAAAACAAATCAGGTCATGGTTTGACTTGTGTAAACAAGTCATAATACTATACAGGAAAAAAGTGAACTTAGAGGTCATTATTTAAATTTAGATCAAGGAAAACATGCAGTTTACCTTCTGTGTTTATGAAAAGAGCTAAATCAATTATATAAAGCTCAATTATTTTCATAATGTTGACTCTGATTACATGTGCAAGTCTTCTAGGCTGAGATCAGTGGCTCGTACCTATAATCCCAGCACTTGGAGAGGCTGAGAGGATTGCTTGAGGCCAGGAGTTCCAGACTAGGCTAGACAACATAGTAAGACCCTATCTCTACAAAAAATGTTTAAAGATTAGCCAGGCATGGTGGAGTGTACCTGTAATTCTAGCTACTCAGGAGGATCACTTGAACCAAGGAGTTCGAGGTTACAGTGAGCTGTGATCATGCCAGTGCACTCCAGCCTGGGCAACAGAGCAAGATCTTATCTCACTATCTGCATATATTTTGCAGTTAAGAAAAAATTAAGATTTCTGAATCTTTAAAAAAAATTGACACGATGAAAATAGTAATTCTGGCATATTTGTTAACCTGACCTATACAAACTATAACTTCGGCCAGGTGCAGTGGCTCACGCCTGTAATCCCAGCACTTTGGGAGGCTGAGGTGGGCAGATCACCTGAGACCAGGAGTTCGAGACCAGGAGTTCAAGACCAGCCTGGCCAACATGACAAAACCCTGTCTCTACTAAAAGTACAAAAATTAGCCAGGCGTGGTGGCACGTGCCTGTAATCCCAGCTACTCAGGAGGCTGAGGCAGGAGAATTTTTTGAACCCAAGAGGTGGAGGTTGCAGTGAGCCGAGATCGTGCCATGCAGCCTGGGCAGCAAGAGCGAGACTCCGTCTCAAAAACAAAAAACTATAACTTCATTTTCGCTTTGTTTTTCTCCCAAAATAGGCCATGATCATAGCTTTCACGTCGGACATGATCCCCCGCCTAGTGTACTACTGGTCCTTCTCCGTCCCTCCCTACGGGGACCACACTTCCTACACCATGGAAGGGTACATCAACAACACTCTCTCCATCTTCAAAGTCGCAGACTTCAAAAACAAAAGCAAGGGAAACCCGTACTCTGACCTGGGTAACCATACCACATGCAGGCAAGTTCTGCTTTACTTGTTTAAAAATGCACTTCATCTTTAAAAGGGTTTTTCTTGTGACTTAATTCTGTTTGGTGTCATTTTTAAAATTTTTATTTCTTTATAACTTCAGGATCAATCAGGTGCTTTGGTGTCATTTAAATCAAGCTGCTAGAGACATTTTTTCCCCATAGCTTTCTCTTGAGTGAAACTCAGAAAATGTATATATATGTATATTTATTAAAAAGTTAATGAAGACTAGGGGTAAAACTTTCAGACCAGGGGTAAAACTTTCAGACCAAACCATAAAGATTTAAAGTTGAGAGTTTCAAACGATTACAGGGAGATTGATTCCAAAGAAAAGTCATAGAAATAGAGAAACTTCAAGAGGTCCAAGAACCAAGATAATTCAGTTGTTAATACTATTGTGTTATTCAAGCACAATCTGAAGATATTGAATGATGGCAAACTAGCACCTCACATAACAGGGACATACAAAGATAAGAGATGTGAAATCTCAGCTGAACAGTATTATCTAAAAATATTCCAAAGTTCTCTGCATCGATTTTAATGGCTGGTGAGTTCAACAGTGGACAGTATGTACCAGGTAAATTACCAATTGATAAAGTTTGTGAACTGTAGGTCATCAACCTTTTTTCCTGGACCATAGAGTTTTACCTAAAATAGGAGGCTTTAAAGTTTATTTAGTCCAACTCCTCAAAGCCTTCACTAACTCAGATTCTCAATGATGCAACCAGGAAACCAGAAATAAGCCCAAAATAAATGTTTGTGTTACACCTAGTGGAGCCTCTTTACAATTCTGCATCAAATCTGCTTATTCTTACTTTCCACAATTCTAATCAGAAATTAAACTCTTCTAGGTTTAATAGCTTACAGGCATAAAATTAGAGATGTCCTACCTGAGGAAGATACACTAACAGCAGTTAACACTTGATATCTGACAACAAAGAATTAGGTAAAAAATTATAACAAGCAGATAGCACTCTGTATGAGGAGAGAGAGTCCCATAGCTGAGTGAACCCTGATGATACCATTATATAAATAAATTTATAAATATGATCCCCAAAACAGGAATTGTTTTGAGAAAACAGGGATAAATGTTGGGAGAACAAATTTAAAACTTTAGTTCTTTTATAAAGATGGATTCTTTTCTACAAAGATGGACCATGTTATTACCATCATTCTCTGATTAAATATTAAATGAGGCACTACTGTAGTTATTTTGGGGCTTTGTTACCAAATTGAGCTTTAAGAGAAAATGTATGTGATGTCCAGTTTAAAAGAGCATTGAATCAAATATGACTTTTTTTTTTTTTTTTGAGACAGCGTCCTGCTCTGTTGCCCAGACAGGAGTGCAGTGACACCATATCAGCTCCCTGCAACCTTCACCTCTCGGGTTCAAGCAATTCTCATGCCTCAGCCACCAAATAGCTGCGATTACAAGCACGTGCTACCACACCTGGCTAATTTTTGTATTTTTAGTAGAGACGGGGTTTTACCATAGTGGCCAGGCTGGTGTCGCACTCCTGGCCTCAAGTGATCCACATGCCTCAGCCTCCCAAAGTGCTAGGATTACAGGCATGAGCCACTGCACCCGGCATGACCTCTTTTTAAATGGGGCCTTTGTTTACAGTATTCAGTCAAAAAGATTTGTCTCCCAATATGTCTCCATTTTGTTTTCAGGTATCGTGATTTCCGATACCCACCTGGACACCCCCAGGAGTATAAACACAACATCTACTATTGGCATGTGATTGCAGCCAAGCTGGCTTTTATCATTGTCATGGAGGTAGGAAAAGTATGCTTTCAAACAGTTTATAAGGATGTGTATTTGCAGACCTTCCATTAAGTGTTGCCAACTCCATACTTAACATGTGTGATACTTTCTTCTTATCACTTGCTAATATTTTAGGAAATATGTTAATCAGTATTGACCTGAAAATACTCAACTTCATTAACGAGAGCATTATCTGCTTTTAAAGTTTAAAAGCATGTTATGCGCAAAGGGGATTCAATTTCATTCATTACTAACTTTTTAAAATGTAGGGCACTGGGCAGCATGTTGGGCTATGAAAGGGCTTATGCAAGATGGGTACGATGATGTGATCTCTGCCTGTGAGAAACTTTTATTGCTGGGAGAGTTTGAAATTGACCAGCTCTGAAAAATTACTAAGGCAACTATAAATTTGTAATTGATCTAGCCAACTGTGCTTCCTATGCAGAGTGAGTTAACTACTGCCAAATTACAAAGTATCAGAGTTTAATTGCTTAATTGGTATGGTAGATAGGATTGTATTAAGCTGCAAGAAACAGAAAATGCAGTCTATGGTGGCTTAAATAAGGTTGATTCCCCTCCCCACAACCTATATGATAGAGTTCATGAAAGTCTGTGGTTGCTCCTGAATCAATCAATACCAGTTCACTGATGGAAGCAGTCTATCCAATTCTTGGGTTTGCTCTCATATATGTGTCCCCTTTATGGCTGCTGAAATTCCAGTTAAAAAATTACATGCAAAGCAGGAAGAAGGGCGATGCTAACCACATCCAGTCCTTTTTGTCAGGAAAGAATGCTTTGCCAGAAGCCCCTACAGTGGACTTCCACCTACATCTCATTGACCAGAACTATAGCATGTGGTTTTCCTAGCAGCAAGAGGGGCTGAGGCAGGTGGATTTCATTTGCTCTGAATAAAACCAATCAGCAGAGAAGAAGTGGGGTAGACTACCTGGATTTTTGGTACTTATACTAGTTCTTTTTTTTTTTTTTAAATAGCTACCAAACATTAAACAGGGAAGACAAGTAACTCACGGTTAGTATCTGACTCATGTCAGTATCTGACATATCAGCAAGAGTCACAGGTTTCTATTTAAACATGTAGTTGATGAAGTGATTGGCCTTCTCCTTTTGATATTGTGGTAGATTATATGTTGTCCTTACATATGCAGTGGACCATCCCCACTGCAAAACTTCTAGAGCCAGCTAGATAATTCCTTTGCATTGCTGAGCCCACTGGAAGGGAAGAGAATCTACAGAGAGAGGGAAAACTAGGTGATGGGTTTTTTTTTTTTTTTTTTTTTTTTTTTTAAAGACAGAGTCTCACTCTGTTGCCCAGGCTGGAGTATGATGCCATGATCTTAGCTCACTGCAACCTCTGCCTCCAGGTTCAGCCAATTCTCCTGCCTCAGCCTCCCAAGTACCTGGGACTACAGGTGCACACTACCACACCTGGCTAATTTTATATTTTTAGTAGAGATGGGGTTTCACCATATTGGCCAGGCTGGTCTCAAACTCCTGACCTCAAGTGATCTGCCCTCCTCGGCCTCCCAAAGTGCTAGGATTATAGGCATGAGCCACTGCGCCCGGCCTAGGTGATGGGCTTTAATAGGGCAGTGAGCAATAAGCACTCTTGTAGTGCTGGAGGTCTCAAAGAGCAAGCTGGTACCCATCAGTGCCTCTATCTTGGAGCTCAAGGAGACCATGCCTTGGGTCAGAAGGGAGGTGGAAAAACTGAGCTTGAGATTCCTGGATAAGCCAGAGACCCAAAACAGGGCTGCATTTGCCTCAGTAGAAAGAAGTGTGTATCTTCTCTGGAGAAAAATGTCCCCAGGTTTTTCTCAGATCAAGCTAATCAAATATGAGCACACAACCAAAGATGGTCAATAACAAGAGGTGATTTAAAAAAAAAACAAAAAAACGTGTGAGGTTCAGCAGGAAACAACTGATTTGGACCCTCAGTAACCTCAAGGGTTTGTTTGAACTGTCAGATAAGGAATATAAATTAACTGTATGTGAAAACATTTAAATAATTATGGGTAGAATTTAAAAAGCAAGAAACTAAAAATTATAAGGCAATTTTGAAAAAACTAAATGGAACTTCTAGAAATTAAAATAAAATCATTGGTGAAATGGAAAAAAACATGGATTAAACAGAAGTTTATGCAAATCTGAAGAGAGAATTTGTGAATTGGAAGATAGGTCTGAAAAAATTACTCCTGATATATCACAGGGAGATAAGAAAATAGAAAATATGAAAGAGATGTTAAGTGATATGGAAGAATGAGAAATACTAACTTAAAGAAGCTGAACATGGATAAAAGAAATGAAAGAGTTCACAGATCAGAAAGCATGACATGCATCAAACAGAATAAAGAAATCCACTTACACATATTGCAAGGAAAATGCGGCACACCAAAAATAAGACCTTGAAAGTAACCGGAGGGAAAAAACTGATGACTAACAGAGAAAACTAAGGCGAGAATGGGAGTAAGCTTTTCAACAGTAACAACGGAAGCCAGAAGAGAGTAGTCTATCTCCAGAATGCTAAAGAAGGTAGCTATAAACCTTAAATTACAGCAGAAGTTTGAAATATTTCTACAATGAAAACACCAGACCATGTGGTTTTTATTGGAGTGATACCAAGCTTTTTAAAACAGATCATTTCAATCCTATACAAATGCCTTCAGAGATGAGAAAGAGGAAATACTCTCCAACTCATTTGGTGAGGCTAAGAGTAGCCTAAATCCTAAAATCAGACAAGAAGAGAGAAAGGAAAATGAAGCCAACCCTATTCATTACATAGATGCAAAGATCTTTCTAAGATGTGTAAAGTGAGATGATGGACATGTTAATTTGTTCCACTATAGAGTAAGTCCTCACTTAACATCCTTATTAGGCTCTTGGAAACCATGACTTTAAGACAACAACTTCTAACAAAACCAGTGTTTTTTCTAATCAATGCTGTAACGAAACAGCATTGAAGGAAATGACGTTATTCAAGGACCTGGAGTTGCAGTTTCCAGGAACCTGTCGATGATGTTGAGGGCTCACTACATACATGTGTCTTACAACATCATGTTGTATACCTTTACGCAAAATTTTTAAAAATGTACAAATCTGAATCTAGCAATATATTTCAAAAAGATAACATCATGCCACCAGGCTTTAAGCTGGAAATGCAAGGGTGGCATAACACAGAAATTCCACATATCTATAAATATTCCCTACCTCAGAAATAGATGAAAGAACTCTTTCCTACAGCATCAACCTTTGTCGCTTTACTATATAATTTCCATTATCACTAAACACACTAATATCTCTCACATCTCAAAATTCTCTCCATCCTTACCTCACCAGTCCTGCTTCACTTCTCTTTTCCTCTTTGTGGCCAGCGCCGTTGAATGAGTTGCCAGTACATGCTGTCCTCGATTCCTCTATCTTTCTATCATGCTTTCACCCCCTCCACTTCACTGAAGCTGCTCTTGCCAAAGTTAGCAGCAGCCACCACTTCCCCAACCCTCCCCTCACCTGACTTAGCAACATTTGACTTAGCAAAAATCTGAGTCAAATTTTTGCTGAAAATCTGACTTCAGATTTTCCTCATCACTTGCCCCTGGAAACTCCTCCTCACTGGGCTCCTAGGAAAGTACGCTTTCCTCCTGCGTCCCTGGCCATTCCACCTCAGGTTCTATGCCAGTCACTTATTCTCTTAGTGATCCTGGGACTCATCCCTTGGTTGTCATCTTTTCTCTCTCCTTGGTCTGTTGATGATCTCCTGGAGTCTGCTGGCTCTAAATACCATCTGTATGCTAAAAGGACCTTAAAATGGCTGTTTGCAGAGCACCCCTCTCCTGAACTCCACCCATGAATCCAACGGCCTACCTGACCTTTCTGCTTGGATCCCTAATAGATGTCTCACATCTGCTGCCCCACATGCCTATATTTTCCTCCATTCACTCCAAATGTTCTCCTCCCAACCCAGCCCAAAATCTCTCCCATCCACAGTATTTCCCTCTTGATTATGGCAACTCCATCTCAACACTGCTCAGGCCAGAATCCTTGGAACCCTAATGCTATATCCAATCTGGTTGGCTTTTCCTTTATCAGTGAGCACTTCAGACCAATTGTGCTGCTACCACCAGGTCAGAGCCACTATCATTTTTTGCCTGGATTAGGGCCAGAGTCTCCTAGCTGGGCTTGCCCTTCCTCTCTCACTCAGAGTCAGAGCCAGAGTCCTCACAGTGGCACACAAGGCCTCATGGATCCAGCCACGCCCCAGTGCCCCTCAGACATCACTTCTCTTCTCGTCACCTGCTCCGCACCATCCTTGCCTTTTCTCGAATGCATTCTGAGGCTCCTCCAAACCAGCTCTGCATTGGCTATTCCCTTTACCTAGAATGTCTTTTCTTCTGATATCTGTAGGGCTTGTTCCCTCACCTCCTTAAAGTGTTTGCTCACTTAGGCATATCCAGACTAATCTACAGAAGAATCTCTTCAAAGTACTCATCACTTTTTAACACCATGAATAATTTGTTTTTAATTATGCTTATATTATCTCTCTCCCCTTGCTAGGTCAGAGATTTTTGATTGATAAATTAAAAAATGAAAAGGTGTTTAACCTCATTGGTAATCAGGAAAATGCAGAGTAAGACCAAAGGGAAAGTCCATTTCATAATCACTAAGTTGGTTTAAAAAAAAAAAAAAAAGCCTGATCCAGCCTGGGCAACATGGCAAAACCCAAAATTAGCCGGGCATGGTGGCAGGTACCTGTAATCCAGCTACTCAGGTGGCTGAGGCAGGAGAATCGCTTGAACCCGGAAGATGGAGGTTGCAGTGGGCCAAGATCGCACCACTGCATTCAAGCCTGAGTGACAGCAAGACTCTGCCTCAAAAAAAAAAAAAAAAAAAAAGGTTTGATGATACGAAGATGTAGAGCAACTGAAACTATTGCTGCTGTGGGAGTGTAAGTTGGTATACCTGCTTTGAAAAATGTTTTGGTATCATCTTATAAAATGGAACATTCACATGACATAGAGTCTCAGCAGTCCCACTCCTAGGTCCACACTCTTGAGAAACTTGCAGATAATGCTCTAGGATTCAAGCACAATAATGTTCACAACAGCATTTTTCCTAAAACAAAAACTGGAAACAACCTCAATGCCTGTTCATAGGGGAACAAATAAATTATAGTGTAGTCACACAGAAGAATATTATACAGCAGTGAAAATTAGTGGACTAGTTTTATAGAATAACAATCTTAGGAAATAGTTTTGAACAAAAGGTGGCCTGGCGTGGTGGCTCACACCTATAATCCTAGCGCTTTGGAAGGCCAAGTTGGGAGGATTGCTTGAGGACAGGAGTTTGAGACCAGCCTGGGCAACATAGCGAGACCCTGTTTCTACAAAGAAATTTTAAAAGTAGCCAGGCATGGTGGCATACTTCTGGATCACTTGAGCCCAGGAGTAGGAGGCTTCAGTGAGCTATGATCATGCCACTGCACTCCAGCCTGGGTGACAGAGTGAGAACCTGATCCAAAAGAAAGACAGCAATTTCCAAAAGACTGCATGCAGCATCATAAAGGTGAAGTCAAGGAAGACTATATTTTGGGGGTATATATACATATTTTGTCAAACTTTTTAAAAAATAAGTGAGAATGATACACATATACTTGTACAGATATGATAGCACTGACTTTTGGAGAAGTGCAAGGCCATTAGAAAAAGAGACACAAAATACAACAGCATTGTCAGCATCCTAGTTTTTAAGTTTAATGGAGGTTTTTTGAGGTATTCATTTTTTCTTTATCCTTTATAACCATTATATGTGTGTATATATACTTTTCTACATATCACATAGTATTATTTAAATGTGTAAAGTAACAGTAACTGCTAGAGCCACACTGTTGATTAGACACAATGGCATTAGCGGTTGGTTGTGTGTGTAAAATGTCCACTGCCTTGTCCAGATAAACTGCCATAATGACAAGCAAGAATGAAAGGAACTCGGTGTTCTCCTCCATTTCTTTGTGAGTGACATTTTTCTTCTTCTCTTCCCCAGCACGTCATCTACTCTGTGAAATTTTTCATTTCATATGCAATTCCCGATGTATCAAAACGCACAAAGAGCAAGATCCAGAGAGAAAAATACCTAACCCAAAAGCTTCTTCATGAGAATCACCTCAAAGATATGACGAAAAATATGGGGGTGATAGCTGAGCGGATGATAGAAGCAGTAGATAACAATTTACGGCCAAAATCAGAATAAGAGCTTTATGTTCTGAGAAGCACTTTAAGGAATTTAGCTTTGTCAAAATATATTAGGAATCACTAATGAGAATGTGTAAGTTAAATCACTTTGGCAAATATGAGTCTCAACTATTGCCATTTCCTCATGTATTATTTTTCAGTTTCAGCTAGCGATGCAGAAACTGGAAAATGTAAAACTTAGATCATGAAGGGCATAAAACTTATCACCCGGAAAACCTCAATGTTACCTTTTTCTGATAAATTGGAATTTTACAGAAAAAGTCCCTCAGTGTGCTTAAAAACCACCCCTTCTAAAGTAGAATGGATTCTTTTTTTTCTGTTTGATTATTTTCATTTCTGTCTATTCTCAGGCGCATGATCTCCTTTATTTTTAAGCCATGTTTCATTTCTTCACTTGGCTAGATCTGTTCCAGGGTCATCTTTTCCTTACAGTACCATCATTATAGATTTAATTTAATAGCTTTCATGTGATTAAAAATAGCTAACTAGACTCAAGGATTCACAATATTTAGGTGTATTTTCAATACCTCCAGAAAGGAAACCTCAGTTAATCAGAGGAAATAGTTTCAGTCTTCATTTGAGCATGTCTTTCCATCTCAAAAAAATACTCTTAGTAGGTTGGAGTGAAGATAGCAAGGTTTTGAAGCATATTTGTCCTAATCCACAGTGACACTTTTTATCTTCCAGGAGCACTCCTAGGAGGTTCCGTGCCTAATCAATGTTGACTGCTTTGCAGATCTCAAGGGAATAAAATGACAAAAGCAGGGAAAGTTACAGATTCAAACAGCATTTTAACTCATGTTGATCTGGATAATTAATCTTTTCTAAAGATGTGTAGTTTCTTGGAAAACAGTGATATCACATGATTAAAATTACATTTTTATCAACATAATTGTCTGGAAAAGATAAGCCCCTCAATTTTCTACCAGTTGACTTTTATTCATTAGATACAGAAGGTGCAGTATTACACATCACCAGCTGCCTTTGTGAATGGCTCACTACACAGCCATTGGGGTACAACTGTGTGCATGGGCAGAAACAGCAAGTGCCCTCATTGTGGTCATTGGGTGGGGAGTGCCTTTTGTCAAGGAGTCTGCAGGAATTGGCTTATTTCTGTATGCCAAAGTGATCAACACACCAAAGTCTCTGCCATAAAGAATGTGGCTTCCTTGCATCCTCCATCCTGTTACTCTGGGCCCAGTAATTTGATGTAACTGTCTGATTGTACTAGAGACAGGAGTATACCCAGCTTATTCATAATCAAGTAAAGAGACTCAGATTAGATTTGATTTTTTAGCCTCCTCTAGAGCCAATCAGGCAGTTAAGAGTAATAAAGGAAAAGGGTTTGGTCACAAACCCTACCATTATCTGGAGATTACTTCCTGCTGCACTCCTGTCTTGCCATGCACGTCTTGCCCCCTCACTTTTGCTCAGCCTAGCAGTCTACTTCACTTTATTGCCTTGTAAGTGTCAGGCCTCCTGGGCGCTCTGGAAAAGACAGGGAGCCAGGCCCTCTCACCCCTACTGGTAACAGGTCATTGCTGGGTGCACAAGAGGGAGGTGATTTGCATCATGGTCATGCTGCATGGGCTTCACTGGGATGCTGTTAAACACCAGAGGAGCCAACCTATCAGAATCCCAGCAGCAAAGGAAAACTCAGATTTTAGAGGCTTTTTACAATAAAGTAGCGTAACTCTAGGTCATGATTGATTTCAAATGCCTGCCATGAATGATTTGTAAGTAATTATGTAGGATCCATCAAAGCAGTATTGTAGGCTTTTGAATTGTCCCAGTGGATCCGGGACCCCATTTCACTGTCTCTCTTGATCGTGTTAATGATGCAATCAGAGTTCAAGACAGGCCCCATGAAGTCTGACTGCACTGGGATGGAGAAATGAATTTCTTCCCACTGAAGGAAACTCTTTCTCATTCGCAGCCAAGACGGGAGTGCCACTGTTCCTCTCTTCACTCCTGAGATACTGCTTCTGGAAGCGGGTGTCACTTCCTCTCTAGTACCTCTTCTCTTCTCTGAAGTGTGTGACTATCTCCTAGTGTTTAAATTTGGCAGTTACTCGCCATGTATGTCAGCATAGAAAAGGAAATGTTTTTACCTTATCTCCTGTATGTATGATAGAACTTAAAAGAAATGTGCATTTGTTTTCATAGCCCCAGCAGAGAAAATCCTCTTCATAGATTAAATGTGCTGCTGTGGACAGGAGGGGAAAAAAAACCCTCTACATATTGAAAGGCACCAAATGTAATATCTGACACTGTTAAGATGCCCAAAAGAGCAAAGTTGTAGTGGAGATGCAGGGTCATTTCCCCATGCCATCCACAGTGTTTGTTAGTGAGTCCACGGCTGACTTGCAGTGATAAAGAAAAGCATGGAGCTGTGTCTGCAGACAATGGTGGCTGCATCTGTAAGTGGCTTCAGAGGCAGCAGCCCTGGGGAAATTGATGGGTGTGGCAGTGGACCTGTGAAGAGGGAGAATCTAGCCTTCAGCCTGTCCAGTGTTAACCACTAGAGAAACTGAGCTTTATATCCTTTTTTAATGCCTGTGAATTTTAGCATATTGAAACATTAGAGCAAATACTCAGGGGATTTTTCATTAAACATCCCTCAGATAATTTAGCTATATATCATTAGAAAGGGAAAGCTATCATTTTTATTTTAAAACTAAACAAGGCCATCTTATAAACTGTCACCAAAGTCTTCCCTTTTTTATTGCATGTGTGCCTTGAATTTCATAAAACATTAATTCACAATGGGGGTCAGAATGTACTCTTGTTGAAACACTTCTTGTACCATTTTATGTTCATATTATGTTTGAGAGGGTAAAAATGTATGAGCAGCTTAACTGAAGTAGAACTATTCATGATGCTTTTCACACATTGTGGCATAAGATGTAAAGTTTGTAATTAATGTTAATTTCTGTGCATTTTAATATTCTTTTATAATTATTAATGTTAATTTCTGTGCATTTTAATATTCTTTTATAATTATGAGCATTTTAATAAATTCATTTTTACAAACAATAGTATGGTCTATTCTATATTGTCTTAACGTTTTTAAGGAAGAGAACATATATCTGCTATTTACTAGTGGCCAGTTGTGTATCACTTAGATAAATGTGTGCTTTTGTGTAGATTTTTCACAGCCTTCACTTCAGAGATTTGCTATGGATTTTTAAAAATTATATTCAGTGTATTAAGGTTACAGATCAGAAAAGCTAGTTATTAAACTCAGCCCAAATCCTATTCTTTTCATCAATCTAGCAAATTTTACCACTTTTTACCAGACTTTTGAATAATGTTTGATTTCACCTACTAGTTTAATGAAATGTGTTAAAATATCTGCAATAGCACTTATAAATGTAGCATATTCCATTCATTTCCTTTTTAAAATACTCGTTATATGACCAATAGTGACCGAGAGGACGTAACTGGCAAAACTAGAAACGTCTTTCTCTTGCTGCCTTCTCTCTATAGGACACCTTTCCCAGAACCATTTAGGTTGTGTTCCCTGTCTCCCCTTCATTACTGAGAGGCAATATGTAAATGGACAATGGCCAGATCATATGTAAAAGCAGAACTCTATCCACACCCTGCCCCTGCTATCTGCAATAGTCAGCCCAGAGAGCCAGCCTGCAGTAGGTTATACTAACAAAGTCAGAGTGCTCTCTCCAGTTACAATCCAGGAAACTAAAGAATAACTTCTGTAACAATTGGCCCAATATGACCAGGACTTGATGAATAACTGACAGCTTCCCTAATTTTGGTCCCGGCTTATACCTTAGGACCAACCAGAGAAAGCCAAATATGCCCTGCTAATCATCGCATAGGATACCCGCTTCTAGTTAGCTACCTACAGCTTCCCACATCAGTGGCCTCCAATCAGGCATAGCGGAAGCCTTCCCACTCTTCTGCCTGCCTTTGAGTCTTTGTCAAAACACCAGTGAGAGTGGCTGACTCCCTTTGCTATAGCATGCTCTGAATAAATAGCCTTTCCTTCTCATGTGGATGGTCTTTGCTTATTTCCACATTATTACCGATACAAGGGCAGTGGATGTTTGCTGGGCAGTAGGACAAATACTCGAGTGCATTACTTTGGCAAACTCCTGCCCTTGGATCATACTGGGGTTGGTCAGGAGGGAGGTTGGTCATGATGACAGATAAATCCTGGGGAAATGTAGATTGGATCACTGGGAATGAAGCTGTGAACCTAACACGGTGAGTTTTGCCATTGATAAGCAATGGGGAACCTGTGGAGAACTTCAGAACGGAATGCTGTAGGCAAGAATGTGATCTTTGTCCCTGGTGAGGACTCATCTGCCTTCTCTCCTAAGCTCTCTCTTCTGATGTGCTCTTTGAGCCCTCGTCACCGTCACCGTTAAGATTCAAGGAGTTTGATAGCAGTTCTCACAATAGGGAGGCTGCCTTGCAGCATTCCTGAGGGGAGAAGGAGAACTGACCCCACCCAGAGCCTTCGGATTCCATGGAGCATTCAAGCATAAATGAAGGGGAAATCCTAGAATAACCTGCTGTGGCTGTGACCATTTCATTTTATTTGGGGAGATGTTTTCCTTTGGTTATGAAACAGATTTTACAAATGCTCTTAATAGCATTTCCATTTCCCAGCAGAAAACAAAGATAAGACAGGTAGCCCTTTAAACCCCTTGCCTCATTCCCGAAAACAGTTCAGCACATGGGATCCTTTACAATGCTGGAATGATTTGATTTTTGTCACTTTACCAACTGGAAGATACGCCTGAGATCGGTCTTGCCCTTCATTTCTCATAATTTCACCTGTTCTTGGCCATAATCAAACCTAGTTCTTCTAATTAGAACCACTTCGCACAGGAACTCAAGCAAGTAGACTGTGATTCCTAATACCGTTCAGGGTGGATAAGCACATTTATGTTACAAAATACCCTGCCATTACTTTCTTTCTTGTCATTGTCGCTTGAGGTGAGTCAGAGTGATAAATCGCTGTCAGTCACCTAAGAGGAAGCTGCAGGTAAGAGGCCTGCTCTGTGGTACAGAACATGCTACAGCCCTGGAAACAAGCGACAGCACTGGCTGCAACAAAATTCACGGGCTGACCACACCGCTGGGCTTTTTCTCCCCTACTTTGTCTTTAAATCAAATCAAATTTTACCTTCAAGTATTTTGGTTCCTTTGGGACAATCAATATTCACCATTGCAGGGCTCTAGCTTCAAGATCAAAATCTTACAGCAACCCTTTTCCCAGGACTGGGATAGAAGAGGAAGGAGGGAGGCAGTGCAAAGAATCCAGGGAAATAAAAGACAATTAAACAAAGGGAAATCTCTCTGGAGACTCCAACAATTAACAGAAGGCTCCCTGTCCCTCATTTCTGCTCTGTGGGAAACCTCTGGGTATAACTAAGAAAAAATATTCCATTTCAATTGCTCCCTAAAAGACTGAAAAGCAAACATATGTAAGGAGCAGCTCCCAGGAAATTGTTTAAATGCTCTTTTCATTGGTGGTGGTGGGGCAAATACAACACCAGGAGCTCTCATGGGATCCCATAGAGAACTATCACATAAACACTCACCCTTCATTAATAATGAGGCAGGTTAATGCGTTCTTGAGACCTCTTCTTCAGTCTCCTTCATGAGGATAAATCATTGCATTGCCTTCCTTGTTTTAATCTAGGAAATTGCACTGAAAGCCTAGAACAGAACTTTTCCCAGACAATATTCTTCCACATCATCTCTTGAAGCTCTATTACCTGTTCAATGTGAACAGTGTAATTCCTAATACTTGATTATGGCACTCTCTATTATAAAATGAATGGATCCCTGGATGTCTCCTCAGAGCTTTTTCCCTGGGTTTTCCTATTGTATTCAGGGCTCCAACCCTTGGCAGTTTGTCAGCCTGGATAATTCCACAATATTATTGTCTTCCAAAGCTTGTCTTTCTTAACATATCCAGTCATGGGCAACTAATTGCTTACTATAAATTCCACCACTTTAGCTGCTGCACCTAATAGTAAAAGAGAGAGCACACCAGTGTCCTGCTCACAAACCACCCCTCAGTGCAGCCCAGTTTCTGCCAGGATGGCCAGTCTGTTACAAACATATCTTTGTATCAGTCCTCCAAACATTTTCTTAGGAACTCTTTGACCAAGCCATGCTATGCAAACTAAGCCACATCTTTGTCATCTGTGAACCAGAGCCTGAGGCAAATGTACTCCCCTTCCTTCCCACCTACCCTGCATATTGTAAATGATGAGAAGGAAAGGAAACTTTGGGGTAAAAACTGAAGGTTTTAATCTTCTGATCTAAGTATCTTAAGAATATAGTTGGCATCATCAAAAACATACCATGTTTTAATTAGGCTGGACAAGTACATTTAGAGTACAACACAAACTCACTGAAAAAAAAAAATGAAGGCAAGGTCTGGGGCAAAGACAGCATCGATGGTGGTTTTACCTGGGTTCAAGGCAGCCTGCCTATGATATGGGAAAAGACATAAGATTTAGAAATAGAGGACCTTGATTCAAGTCCTGGATCTGCCACTGGCCAGCTTCATAAATTTTAGCAAGTTAAGAAACTGAATATACAAATGGACAATGGCCAGAGCTTATATAAAAATAGATCACTGACCCTCAGCCTGCAGCAACCTGCCCAGGAAACTAACCCCTTTATCTACAATCAGCCCAGGAAGCCAGCCTACTATAAGTCAGACTTGTAGGAGGTCAGAATGCTATGTCTAGTGACAAACCAGGAACCTAAACAACACCTCTCTAACAATTGGCCCAGTATGACCAGGACTTGATGAATAACAGCTTCCCTAATTCCAGTTCCTGCTTGTACCCTAGGACCAACCAGAGAAAGCCAAATATGCCCCCCTAACCATAACATAGAATGCCCACTTCTGCTTAGCTGCCTACAGCTTCCCCATGCCAGCAGCCACCAATCAGGGCATAGCTGAAGCCTTCCTACTCCTCTGCCTGCCTTTGAGTCTCTGTCAAAACACAAGTGACAGTGGCTGACTCCCTTGCTATAGCAAGCTCTGAATAAATAGGCTTTGCTTGTTCTCATTTGGCTGATCTTTATTTCCACAAAGGCATTTAACCTCTCTAGGCTCTAACTTCCTAATCCATAACAATGGGGCTTGTTTCCACTACTTGGCGTCATTATGAAGTCCCTAATGTCTATGCTTCTCACCCTGGATTCAGGGTGTATAAGAAACCACAGGATCAACATGAGTAATCCCCTTGGAGGTGAATGTTTCAATGATTAAAGGAGAAATGGTCGTATTAAAACAAACACAGATATATTTTGAAATTGCATGCAAAATTCAAATGAATGTTTAATATAAAATAACAATCTTTAAATAAATTCCAGCTGGGCATGGTGGCTCACGTCTGTAATCCCAGCACTTTGGGAGGCCGAGGCTGGTGGATCATCTGAGGTCAGGAGCTAACGACCAGCCTGGCCAACATGGTGAAACCCTATTTCTACTAAAAATACAAAAAATTAGCCGTGTGTGGTGGCAGGCACCTGTAATCTCGGCTACTAGGGAGGCTGAGGCAGAATTGTTTGAACCTGGGAGGCAGAGGTTACAGTGAGCTGAAATTGCGCCATTGCACTCCAGCCTGGGCAACAAGAGTGAAACTCTGTCCAAAAAAAAAGAAATTCCACACTTACAGTAAGCTGCTTCATCTAGGCCCCAGGGTTATACCTTAACCTTCCTCTGTCCTCAGTGAAACCTGTGTGGAAAAGACAAGGGTTGACATATGTTGAAAGCACCTTGTCAGCCATGAAATTCTAGAACAGTGTTCTCAAAGTGTGGTCTAGATTCCCCTGGGAGGGTCTAAGTCCTTTTCAGGAGGTCCACAAACACAAAACTATTTTCCTAATAACACAAAGACATGATTTGCCTTTTTACTGTCATTCTCTCACGAGCATAGAGTGGAGTTTCCAGAGGCTCCATGACATGGAACATGGGCATAGACTGAATGCAGGAGCAGGTATGAGCATCTAGCCGCTTGCTGTTAAGCCAGACATTAAAAATAAAAAACAATGCCACTCTTCTCACTAGATTATTTTGAAAAGTACATTCTTTTCCATTACAACATTTTATGTTTTACATGCAATGGGCTTATTCTTATTTTAAATTTTTTTTAATGTTCTGTTTTCATTTCTAATACAGTAATTTCTAATTCTAATACAGTATTTACTATATTCATACATATGATTCATACAAACAAAGGTTTTTGTGGGCTCTCATAACTTTTTTTTTGAGAGACAGAGTCTCGCTCTGTCGCCCAGGCTGGAGAGCAGCGGCGCAATCTCGGCTCATTGCAACCTGTGCCTCCCAGGTTCTAGCAATTCTCCTGCCTCAGCCTCCCTAGTAGCTGGGATTACAGGTGCACATGCCACGCCCAGCTAATTTTTTGTATTTTTAGTAGAGACGGGGTTTTACCATGTTGCCCAGGCTGGTCTCAAATTTCTGAGCTCAGACAATCCACCCACCTTGCCTCCCAAAGTGTTAGGATTACAGGCATGAGCCACCACACCCGACCTCAAAACTTTTAAGAGTGTAAAATTGTTCTGAGAACCACTGCTTTATAAAAATTTGGACCAGAGCTAATCATAGCATTTACATTTAAGTTGGCTAGTAAAACTTCAAGCACGAGGGTAGCAAAAAAGACCAGCGCAGTCTTTCCACTCTCTATGCATGTGAAATCCATTTTCTGGTCAATGCCAACCTCTAGTAAAGCTCTGTCTCTGATGCAGGGTCTGCGCTGGTGCTTCCGCTCAGGCAAGCTGCCTCATCCTGCCCAATGCCCACTGAGCTCTTGGTCTTCCTCATTTCCTAGTTGTCCATCCTGGGCTACATAGTGTGATAAGGCCTGCTGTGGTTTCTTTTGTGTATCCTGCCACATTCAGCACATATTTGCGTGTATGTGTGTGTGTGTGTGTGTGTGTGTATGTATGTGTGTGTAAGATATATATACACACATATATATTTCATTCCAAGCTGTTTTCCTGGAAATCCTGGAGTCCCAGAAAAGGACATGTGATCAGCAATACAGATTGAGCATCCCAAATCCAAAAATCTGAAATCCAAAATGCTCCAAAATCAGAAACTTTTTGAGTGCCAATGTGATGCCATGAGTGGAAAATTCCACATCTGACTTGATGTGGCAGGTCACAGTAAAAATGCAGGCACCCAAAACACACTTTGTTCAGCATCCCCAAGAGAAAATAAAATTACCTTCAGGCTATGTGTATCAGCTGTATGTGAAATACAAATTTTGTGTTTAGACCTGGGCCCCATCCCCAAGATATCCTATTACGTATATGTAAATATTTCAAAATTCAAAAAAATCTGTAATTTTTAACACTTCTGGTCCCAAGGATATCAAATAAGGGATATTCAACTTGTAGTAGTGTGACTAGTGTGCAAAAAGTGATCAGAACTATAAATCCTGGTGTCATCTAGAGGCCCACTGCAAAAACATGACCCACATTGATCCTGTAAGCCATATGCAGGGAGTAATTCCATTAAAGATATTTCTTTCAAACAGGGAATATTGTGTATTAATTCAGTATTTATAGCACACTTGGAAAAGAGATGTTCAATAAATACTTGTTGAATTAATGAATAAATGCCTCATCTGTCCTGATAATAGATTTTCTAACCAAAAGATGTAGGAAGTATATCCAGGAAAGTAGCATAATGTTAAGAATGACAGTTGCTTGCTCAAGTCACCAAATCAAGATGAGTAAAGCTTGGTTTGGTACAATGGCTAGTCAGAAGTCCTGATGGTGAGCTGTGAGGACTATGAGGAAGTGTCACCTGTGTGTCTTGAGTATAGATGCTGCTACTTCTCCAGCCACCAGCCCACCACTGAAGTGAGTCACAGTCCAGGATGCAGTTACAGTAGCCTACTAGAGTGGGCTGATGCCAGCGCTTAATCACAGGTCACACAGAGGCCAACGCAAAAGGCCATTGAAATGGATCTGGGACTCTGAATTTCTCAATCCCCATATCAAAACACTGCATCGAGCAAACTCCCAAACTCATCTGCGGTGTGGTTCTCATGAACTAATTCCCATCTGGTCTGCCCAGTTGGAGACAAACCTAAGCAGGAGGCAAATCAAACAAGGCTATCATGATATTGATGCCCTGTTACTCCTTGTCCATGGGAGAATGGTAAAAGGCAGTCTGTCTGGACATGAGGGCATTTGAATTTGGACCTTTAAACAAATTCTCAAAGGTAAATACTAACACTCATTTTCATTCAGCTTACCTGAAGACAATAATTACCAGAGTATTCAAGATATGATTTAATTGCTTTTTTTTTTTTTTTTTTTTGAGACAGTATCTCGCTTTGTTGCCCAGGCTGGGACACAGTGGCATGATCTTGGCTCACTGCAACCTCCGCCTCCCAGTTGACTGCTGTATGTGTTATAGGTTTGTCGATGAAATTAGACTTTTGGAACAACTAACTTCTGACTTTATTGACTCCCTCTATTATATATTTTCTATTTCAATAATATCTATTTTCTTTTCTGTTACTTTCTTTTTCCTTCTACTTTCTTTGGGGCCAACTCCGTGTTTTTCTGTATCGAATTTCTTAAGTTAGATTTATTCAATAATTCATTCAACAAATATTTGTGTGTCTATTATGTGGCCAGCATTGTTTCATGTGCTCAAGATAGAGTAGCATTGTTTGGCTCATTAATATTCCAATACTGGCATTTAAGACCATTAATTTTCCTCTAAATCGTATTTGAGCTGCAACCCACAAGCTTTTATATGTATAGTTTTTTGTTGTTGCTATTATTAAAAGTATTTTAGATCCTCCCTTGTTTTGCTTTTCAATCTGAAATGCCTTCATGCCATTTTAATTTTTAAAAGGTAATTTAATTGAGCCTAATTTCTTTTTCTTTTTTCTTTTTTTTGAGACAGAGTCTTACTCTGTCACCCAGGCTGGAGTGCAGTGGCGTGATCTCAGCTCAATGCAAGCTCTGCCTCCCAGGTTCACGCCATTCTCCTGTCTCAGCCTCCCAAGTAGCTGGGACTACAGGCGCCCACCACCATGCCTGGCTAATTTTTTTGTATTTTTAGTAGAGGCGGAGTTTCACCATGTTAGCCAGGATGGTTTTGATCTCTTGAATTGAGCCTCATTTCTTTTTCACCTAAGTTGCTTTGTTGTGTGATTTGAAATCTGTAAGACTGCCCTTATATTATCAAGTCTAACCTTAAATGCATTAAAGCAAGAAAAGTTTCTGTATACTCTAATACTGATTTTTTGACAGTTATTGAGATGAGTTTTGAACTGACATATAATCTGTTTTTGTGAAGGTTTCATGTGTGTGCTTAAGAATATATTTCTTGAGGACATCGGCAAGATGATAGAACAGGAAGTCCCAGGCTCCCATTTATTTATTTATTTATTTTTTGAGACATAGTCTCACTCCCAGGCTGAAGTGCAGTGGCACGATCTCAGCTCACTGAACCTCCACCTCCCAGGTTCAAGCAATTCTCCTGTCTCAGCCTCCTGAGTAGCTGGGATTACAGGCATGTACCACCATGCCTGGCTAATTTTTTTTTTTGTATTTTTAGTAGAGACAGGGTTTCACCATTTTGGCCAGGCTGGTCTCCAACTCCTGACCTCGGATGATCTGACTGCCTCGGCCTCCCAAAGTGCTGGTATTGCAGGCGTGAGCCACTGCACATGGCCAGACTCTCATTCTTCCAAGGAAATATCTAGTAAACAACTAATGACTAAAATAGCTTTATAGGAGCCCTGGAGACCAAAGATCTGCAGCAAACAAGTAAATGTCCAATCAAAAAAAAAAAAAAAAAGCCATACTCAAAATGGCAGTAATATTGCGGCATTTTAGCTCAACCTTGCCCTACCTTCTCTCTGGCATGGCATTGTTGGGAGGAAGTGGCCCATTTTCTGGCTCCCTCTTGCAGGATGAAAGGAAAAGTGTGAAACTTGTTTGCAATATTCTGACCTGTCTGTGGGCTGACCATGGAAATGATTTCTATATAATCTAACCCAGAGTTCAGATAGAAATGCCAGCATCGTTTGGATATCAGGTTGGAAAACATTGATGGCAGTGGTGGGTGCCATGGCATGTGAAGACTGCAGGGGGACTTCTGACTCATGAACATCTGGAGATAAGAGATTGCAGAAAGAATAATGCAAGAGTTCCAGGCCCTGAGAAGAAGCAGGGATGAGATTCTTAAGGAAATTAAGACATTTAAAAGCAGCTATATATATAGGAGAATGAGGTTGGGGTGGGAGGGAAGCATACAAACAGACCCAGAGAATGTGTTTGCTGACAAAAGATCTGAGAACAACTTAAGCCTTCATGCTGGCCTTATGAGAAGGTATACCATCTCCCTTACAGAGACAGTCAGCAAAGACTAGGAAAGGTGGCCGTTTTTCAAATGCCCAATTTTCAACCAAAGCAAAATCACAAGTCATACAGAGAAACAGAAATATGACTCATTCAAAGGAAAAGAAATTTCCAAAACCAACCCTAAAGAAATACAGGCTTTGGACTTACTAGACAAAGACTTTAAAACAACTGTCACAAATAAGTTCAAATAGAAATTTTTTTAATAACCAAATTCTGGAACTGCAAAACAAACACTGAATTGAGAAAATATATTAGAAGTGTTCATCAGCAGATAAAAACAGGAAGAAGAAAGAATCAGCAAACCTGAAGACAGGTTATTGGAAATTATCAAGTCTGTGTAGCAAAAGAAAAAAGAAGAAAGTGAATGGAGCCTAAGGGACTATGGGATACCATCAAGCCAACCAAAATATACATTAAAGGAATCTCAGGAGAATAGAAAGAAAGGGGTAGAGAGTTTATTTGAAGAAATAATGGCCAAAAGCTTCCCAAATTTGAGGAAATACATAGATATACAAATACAAGAAGCTGAACAAGCTCCAAGTAGAATAAACCCAAAGAAAACTACACTGAGACACATTATAATCAAGCTATCAAAAGACAAAGACTGATTCTTGAAGGATGACTACCAGAAGCTGGGAAGGGAGGTAGGGAATTGGGGCAGAAATGGGGATGGTTAATGGGTACAAAAAGTAGTTAGAATGAATAAGACCTAGTATTTGATAGCACAATAGGGTGGCTATAGTCAATAATTGTACATTTAAAAGTAACTAAAAGAGTACAATTTGATTGTAACACAAAGGATAAATGCTGGAAGTGACAGATCCCCCTTTTGCCCTGATGTGATTATCACACACTGTATACCTGTACCAAAATATCCCAAAATATCATATATATATATATATATATATATATATATATATATATATATACACCTACTATGTACCCACAAAAATTTTAAAAGAAAATTTTTAAAAGAGATTCTTGAAAGTAGCAAGAAAAAAGCAAATTGTCACATACAAGGGATACTCAGTAAGACTATCAGATTTCTCAGCAGAAACCATGCAAGCCAAAAGGCAGTAGGATGATATATTTAAAGTGTTGAAAGAGAAAAGAACTTCACCAATAATTCTATATCTGACAAAACTATTCTTCAAAAAATATGAGAGAAATTAAGAAATTTCCAGAAAAGCAAATAAAGAAATTTATTTCCACCAGATCTGCCCTACAAGAAATGCTGCAGTGATTTATTCAAGTTTAAATAGAGGCATACTAGACAGTAATTCAAAACTGCATAAAAATATAAAGTTCCTTGGTAAACACATGAACAAATACCAAAACCAGTATTATAATTTTGGTTTATAATTTCACTTTTTCTTCCTTTACAGGATATAAAAGCAAAAGCGTAAAAAATAAATCTATATTAATGCTACACAATAGGTCTGGGCACAGTGGCTCACACCTGTAATCCCAGCACTGTGGGAAGCCAAGGCATGTGGATCACTTGCGTCCAGGAGTTTGAGACCAGCCTGGGCAACATGGTGAAACCCTGTCTCTAAATACAATAATAATAATAATAATAATAATCATCATCATCATCATCATCATCATCATCATCATCATCATCATCAGCTAGCTGTGGAGGCTGAGGTGGGAGGATTGCTTGAGCCTGGGAGGTGCAGGTTGCACTGAGCCAAGATCTCGCCCCTCCACTCCAGCCTGGGCAGGAGAGAGGGACTCTATTTCAAAAAAAAAAAAAAAATAGTTGCACAATATATTAAAATGTAATGTGTTATGTTAATAACATAAAGGGGCATAGCTCTAGAAGAGTAATATTTTTATATGAAACTTAAGTTGGTATCAGTTTAAAAATATTGTTATAATTTTAGAATATTTTAGAATATTGTTAGAATTTAGAATATTTATATAATTTTAGAATATTGTTATAATGGTTACCAGAAAGAAAATATCTATAGAATATATGCAAAGGAAAATGAGAAGGTAATCAAAAATGTGTCACTACAAAAATAATTAAACATAAAGGAAGGCAAGAAGGAAGGAATGAGGGACAAAGAAAACTATAATACTCACAGAAAGAAAATAACAAACTACCAATAGTGAGTCTTGCCCTATCAGCAATAACTTTAAATGTAAATAGGTTAAACTTCCCAATCAAAAGACATAGATTGGCCAATTAAATTTTTTAAAATATGATTCTACTATATGCTATCTACAGGAGACTCACTTTAGATCTAAGGACATGCTTAGGTTGAAAGTGAAAGATGGAAAAAGATATACTATAAAAATAATAACCAAAGAAAGCAAGGATGGCTAAACTAATATGAGACAAAATAGGCTTTAAGTCAAAAACTGTTACAAGACACAAATGTTGATATTATGTAATGATAAAAGGGTTGATTCATCTAGAAGATATAACAATTATAAACATATATAGCAAACTTCAGAGGTCCTAAATATATTAAGCAAACATTGACAGAATTAAAAAGGAGAAAAAGATCTATAATTATAGTAAGACACTTTAATACCCCACCTTTTATTAATGATAGAACAGCTAGACAGCATATAAGACAGAATATAAGGACACAGAGGTCTTGAACAACATTAAAGACCAATTGGACCTAACAGACATACATAGAATATTTTATCCAACAAAGCAAAAAAAACACATTTTTTCTCAAGTATATTTGGAACATTATCCAGAAAAATCTACATGTTAGGGCATGAAATAAATTAAAAAAGACTGAAATCATACAAGTTATCTCTTCCAACCACTATGGAATGAAACTGGAAATCAATAGCAGAAAAAAATGGGAAAATTTACAAATATGTAGAAATTAAACAATACTCTCTTATACAACCATTGGGTCAAAAAATAAAGGAGAAATTAGAAAATATCTTGAGACAAATGAAAATGAAAACACAACATACCAAAATCCATGGGATGCAGCAAAAGCAGTGTTAATAGGGAAATTTGTAGATGCAAACAAACATATATACTCAAAATGAAGAAAGAGAAAATGGCAACCTTCAGCTAGGTGTGCATGGAAATGGTCCTAATTCATGCCTCTGGCCTGCTGCTGCAGCAGCAGCTACCTGGGGCTTGTGCAGCCAAGGGCCCAGCCAGAACACCCAGTAAGGCTCTCTCACTTCCTCAGAAGAAGGAAGATATTCATGATTACAATGATATAGACATGGCATGTCTTCTGGTAGAGTGGGAGAAGGATGATGACATAAAAAAAGATCTTCCAGAGCACAAGAGACCCTCAATACCTATCAATTCTTATATATCAACCTGGGCAAGCCTGAAAGCACGTTGAAAATGATGAAAGAAGGGAAGATTCTTATATGTTTGTCGCTGTATCAGGAACCCCACTGAGAAAGAGAGACGAAATCATGAGCCTCTGTCAGGGCAGTCTTTTCAATGCTAATGAAATGTCCAGAGGTTCATTGTGGGATCAGACCATACTATCTTCATGCTTCATGATGGAAAATATGCCTGGGAGATCAAGAACTCTTGTCAGTGAAGACAAGTGTGCTGACGCACCTCTGGAGGGACAGGTGTTCCCTGGCAAAGGAGAAGGAAGGAAGCAAAGAGAAAAATAAAGACAACATTGAAAAGAAGAAGAAAAGAGATCCAAAATCTTGGGCTTTCAATGAAGACAAGCTGGAAATAGCAGAGAAGACCTGTAACAGGGCAGCCACGGTGGTCTGCGGAAAAGTAGATGGACACACAGAGCTCCTAGCTGGGCTCATGTGGTTGGGACTGGTGCAGGAAACTGCACACAGGATGACATTCTAGTTTCTTCTAGAAAGAGTCTGCCACATGACAAGTTTTGTGGTCAGTGTAAGAATTATTGTTTAAAAGGCTTCAAATACACCCATTGAAAAAAGTGGCATGCCACTGTAAACTCCACGGGACAGCTGAAAAACTGTGAGTTCTCAAAGTGTGAGAGGGGATAAGTCTGCCTCCAAACACACATCCCCACTGGGGAACCAGAAAATCCAGATCAAGGGAGAAGGATTTAACCTACCTAGAGCTGAAATAGATTTAGGGAACCCAGTGAAATATAAAGGTAGAAGAAGCAGTGGGAAGAGTTCTATAGGCACTCCCATTTCCCAGCTTGAGCCCAAGGAAGCCATCCCTGACTTTACCTCACAGAGATCCTTGGGGAAGGTAGCCAGCAAAATTAGGGAGAGGCCACAGGGTGAAAGAAGCTTCTAGCTGAACTTTGTAATAATTTCAACTGAGCACTAATTTTCCTGAGCAGAATCCAGGGGATGAATCAAGTGCAGGTACTAGCACAGAAGCTGCAGCTGATGGTGCAGGCAGGCAGGGAGGGTCATGGTCTGAAAGACCTGCTTGCTTTCTCAGTTGAGAGGCTTGTAGCCTGGGGCAAGATCTCAGCCATATCCACCAGCTGCCTGGATATAAACTCAGCACTGCTGGCAGGGCATGGTGGGAGTAAGACTGGCCTTGCTGGCTGTGTGGGAGCTGGGTCAGGCCTGTCACTGCCAGCTTTCCCTCACTTCCCTGGCAACCTGCATGACGCAGGAAGGGCAGCTGTAATCCCTCTTGGAACATAACTCCATTGGCCTGAGAACTACCCCTCCATCCCACACAATGACTGCAGCAACCCCCACCCAAGGAGAGTCTGAGCTCAGAACCACCTAACCCTGCCTCCACCTGATGGTTTTTCTCTACCTGCCTTGGTAGCCAAAGACAAAAGACAAACTCTTGGGAGCTCTATGGCCCCTCCCATTGCCTGACAAACCTGAATACTTATCCTGGACAACTCAGGGCAAACTTATATCCACCTTATACTACTGCAGCTGGTACTCTCTTGAAAGCACCACCTCCTGACTGGAGGCCAACCAACTCAAGCCATTACAGCAACTCATAACAGAACAACGATGCTCCAAAGAAGGAGAAAACAACAGCTAATTCCACTGCCTGCAACATCTTGGCTAACCAGAGGTCCTGAGTCTGTCCATGTAATTATGTCACTGCCAGCATAACCAGCATGTAAGGAAACCAGTGCACAAAACAAAACTACAAACAAGGACTCAGAGAATCCACTTCACAATTCACTCCCCTGCCACCTCCACCAGAGCCGGTGCTAGTATCCATGGCTGGGAGACCTTAAGATAGATCACATCACAAGATTCTTTGCAGATATTCCCCAGCCCCAGCCCAGAGCCCAGTAGCCCCACTGGGTTGCTAGACTCAGAAGAGCAATAACAATCACTGCAGTCTGGCTCTCAGGAAGCCCATCCCTAGGGGAAGGGGGAGAGCACCACATCAAGGGATCACCCCATGGGACAAAAGAATCTGAACAGCAGCCCTTGAGTTCTAGATATTTCCAATGAAACAGTCTACCCAAATGACAAGGAACCATAAAAGTAATTCTGGTAGTATGACAAAACAAGTTTCTAGAACACCCCCAAAAAGATCACACTAGTTCTCCAGCAATGAATCCAAACCAAGAAGAAATCTTAATTGCCAGATAAAGAATTCAAAAGGTTGATTATTAAGCTACTCAAGGAGGTACCAGAGAATTGTAAAAACCAACTTAAACAATTTTTTTTAAAAAAATACAGGATATGAATAAAACAGTCTTCAGAGAAATAGATGTCATAAAGAAAAAACAATCACAATTTCTGGAAATGAAAGACACACAGAGAAATACAAAATACACTGGAAAATTTCAACAATAGACTAGAACAAGTGGAAGAAAGAACTCCAGAACTTGAAGACAAGGCTTTTGAATTGACCCAATCTGACAAAAACAAAGAAAAAAAAATTTTTTAATGAACAAAGCCTCCAAGAAATTTGGGATTATGTTAAACAACCAAACATAAGATTAATTGCTGTTTGTGAGGAAGAAGAGAAATCTAAAAGTTTGGAAAAATTATTTGAGGTAATAATCGAGGAAAACATCTCTGGCCTTGCTAGAGATCTAGACATCTAAATACAAGAAGTTCAATGAACACCCTGGAAATTTATTGCAAAAAGATCATCACCTAGGCACATAGTCATCAGATTACCTAAAGTCAATAAAAAGGAAAGGATCTTAAGAGCTGGGAGGCAAAAGCATCCAGGTAACATATAAAGGAAAACCTATCAGATAAACAGCAGATTTCTCAGCAGAAACCCTACAACTTCAAAGGGTCCTATCTTTAGCCTCTTTAAACAAAATAATTATCAGCCCAAAATTTTGTATCCAGCAAAACTAAGCTTCATAAATGAAGGGGAGATAAAGTCTTTTTCAGACAAACAAATGCTGAGAGAATTCACTGCTACCAACTGAGCACTACAAGAAATGCTAAAAGGAGATATAAATCTTGAAACAAAACCTTGAAATACACCGATATACAACCTCTTTAAAGTGTAAATCTCACAGAGCCTATAAAATATTAACACAATGAAAAAAACACAAGGTATTCGGGCAACAATTGGCATGATGTAAATGGCCTAAATTCTCCACTTAAAAAATACAGAATGGCAGAATGGGTAAAAATCCACCAACCAAGTATCTGCTGTCTTCAAGAGACTCACCTAACATGTAAGGACTCCCATAAACTTAAAGTGGTGGAAAAAGATATTCCATGCAAATGGAAACCAAAAGTATGCAGGAGTCGTTATTCTTATATCACAAAACAAATCTCAATAAATTTAAGAAAATAAAAATTACATCAAGTACTTTCTCAGACCACAATGAAATAAAATTTCAAATTAACTCCAAAGGTACCCTCACAACTATACAAATACATGGAAATTAAATAATGTGCTCCTGAATGATCTTTGGGTCAACAATACAGTCAAGATGGAAATTAAAACATTCTTTGAACTGAGCAATAATAGTGACCTATCAAAACCTCTGAGATACAGCAAAAGTGGCGCTAAGAGGAAAGTTCATAGCCTTAAATGCCTACATCAAAAAGTCTGAAAGAGCACAAACAGACAATTTAAGGTCACACCTCAAGGAACTAGAGAAACAAGAACAAACAAAACCCAAACCAAGAGAAGAAAAGAAATAACCAAGATCAGAGCAGAATTAAATGAAACTGAAATGAACAAAAAAATACAAAAGATAGATGAAACAAAAAGCTGGTTCTTTGAAAAGATAAACAAAATTGATAGGCCACTAGTGAAATTAACCAAGAAACTAAGAGAGAAAAACCAAATAAGCTCAATTGGAAATGAAATGGGAAACACCAAAACAGTATGGTACTGGTATAAAAATAGGCAGATAAACCAATGGAACAGAATAGAGAACCCAGAAACAAAGTCAAACACTTACAATCAGCTGATCTTCAACAAACCAAACAAAAACATAAAGTAAGGGAAAGGACACACTATTCAACAAATGGTGCTGGGATAATTAGCAAGCCACACAGAACAATGAAACTGGATCCCATCTCTCACCTTATACAAAAATCAACTCAAGATGGATCAAAGACTTAAATATAAGACCTGAAATCATAAAAATTCTAGAAGATAACATCAGAAAAGCTCTTCTAGACATTGGCTTAGACAAAGACTTCATGACCAAGAACCCAAAAGCAAATGGAACAAAAACAAAGACAAATAGATGGGACTTAATTAAACTAAAAAGATTCTGCACAGTAAAAGAAATAATCAGCAAACAGACAACCTGCTGAGTAGGAGAAAATATTCACAAACTGTGCATCCAACAAAGGATCAATATACAGAATCTACGAGGGACTCAAATCAGAAAAAAAAAATCCCATCAAAAAGTGGGATAAGGATATGAATAGACAATTCTCAAAAGAAGATATAAAAGTGGCCAACAAACATAAGAAAAAATGCTCAACATCACTAATTATCAGGGAAATGTAAATCTAAACCACAATGCAGTACCACCTTACTCCTGCAAGAATGGCCATAATTTAAAAATTAAAAAATAATAGATTTTGGCAGGGATTTGGTGAAAAGCGAACACTTTTAAACTGCTGGTGGAAACATAAACTAGTACAACCACTATGAAACATAGTATGGAGACTCCTTAAAGAACTAAAAGTAGAACTACCATTTGATCTGGCAATCCCACTACTGGGTATACCCCAGAGGAAAAGGAGTCATTATATGAAAAAGACACTTGCACATGCATGTTTAGAGCAATACTATTTGCAATTTCCAAAATATGGAACCAGCCTAAATGCCTATCAATCAGTGAGTGGATAAAGAAAACATGGTATATATACACCATAGAATAATACTCAGCCATAAAAGGACAAAATAATGCCATTTACAGCAATCTGCATGGAGTTGGAGACCATTATTCTAAGTTGATTAACTCAGGAACGGAAAACCAAATATTGTATATTCTCACTTATAAGCAGGAGCTAAGCTATGAGGATGCAAAGACTACACATTGGGTACAATGTACACTGCTTGGGTGATTGGTGCACCAAAACCTCAGAAATCACCACTAAAGAATTTATCCATGTATCCAAATATCACATGTTCCCCCAAAAGTACTGAAATAACTTTTTAAAAATAAGAGTTAAATTTAAAAAAAAAAAGATAAGAATTGACCAAATTCCAACCAAAAAAGACAATAGAAACAGACTTAGAGACCTAAATAATGAAATTAACAGATATAGACCCTGAAACAACTGCAATTAATGTTTTAAAAAATAACAAGATAGAGAATTGTGACAGAGGATTAGAAAGTATAAAACAGTAAACATAAATGTTTGAAATAATGGATATGCTGATTACCCTGATTTGATTACAACTGTATACATGTATCAAAATATCACTTTGTATCTCATAAATTGTACAATTATTGTGTCAACTAAAATTTTTTTAAATAAAAAAGGTTTCAAATAAGAAGACAAAGATTTTCTAATTATATTGAACTCTGACAAATTCATGTTTACTATAAAATCATCTTAAATAGAAAAAAAGATTTAAATGAACACCCTAAATTTATGCCTTAATGAGGAACCAGAAAAAAGACCAAACTAAACCCAATGCTAGCAGAAGAAATAATAAAGACTCAAATAAGTAAAATCAGAAATGAAAAGGGGGACATTCCTACCAATTTTTACAGACAGAATAAAAAGATTATGAGAGTACTATGAACAACAGATTGAATATCATAGATGAATTGGACAAATTTTAGAAACACACGACCTAACAAGACTGAATTGTGAAGAAACAGAAAATATTAACATATCTATAACTAGCAAGGAGACTGACTCAGTAATGAAAAACCTCTTGTCTAAGAAAAGCCCAGGACCAGGAAATTTTACCGGTTAATTCTACAATACATTGAAAGAAAAACTAATGCCAATCTTCCTCAAACTCTTCCAAAAATTAAAGAGGAGGGAACACTTCCAAACTCATTCTATGAGCCCAACATCAACTTGATACAAAATCCAAAGGCACGACAAGAAAAGAATTAATTAATTAATATTGATGCAAAAATCCTCAAAATACTAGCAAACAGAATTCAGCAGCACATTAAAAGGACTGTACATTATGATCAAGTGGGATTTATTCCTGGAATGCAAAGGATATCTTACCATATGAAAATCAGTCAATATAATGCAACACACTAAGAGAACAAAGGTGAAAAAAACAAACCAACCACATGATCATCTCAATTGATATAGAAAAAGCATTTGACAAAATTCAATACTGTTTCATGATGTAAATACTCAACAAACTAGGAATAGAAGGAAGCTACCTCAGCATAATGAAGGTCATATATTGAAAGCCTACAGCTGCATCACAGTCTATGGTAAAAGATTAAAAGCTTTTCCTCCAAATTCAGGAACAAGAGAAGGATGCTCACTTTGCCACTTCTAGTCAACATAATACTAGAAGTCCTAGGTAAAGCAATTAGGAAAAAAAAAAAAAGAAAAGAAAGGGCATCCAAGTTGGAAAGGAGGAAGTCAAATTATCTCTGTTCACAGACAATATGATCTTATATGTAAAAAACCCTAAGGATTCCACACACACCCCAAAAGCTGTTAGAACCAATAAATGAATTCAGCAAAGTTGCAGATACAAAATCAAAACACAAAAATCAGTTGTATTTCTACACACAAACAAAGAAAAATCTAGAACAATTAAGAAAACAGTTCCACTTACCATAACATTAAAAAGAATAAAATACCTAGGAATAAATTTAATGAAGCAGGCAAAATACTGTACACTGAAAAACTATAAAATGTTGCTGAACTAAAAAAGACACCAATAAGTGGAAAGACATCTCACGCTCATGGAGTGGAAGACTTAATTTTGTAAAGATGTCAATATCACCTAAAGAAACCTACAAATTCAATGCAACTTCTATTAAAATCCCAACAATTTTTGCAGACATAGAAAAATCCATCCTAAAATTCATATAAAACTTCAGTGGACCACGAATAACCAAGACAGCCTTGAAAAAGAACAAAGTTGGAGGTCTCACACTTCCTGATTTCAAAATACCACAAGCTTACAGTAATTAATCAAAATAGACATACAGACCAATGGAATAGAAAGAGCCAGAAATAAACCTTCTTATGTATGGTCAAATGATTTTCAACAAGGGTGTCAATTCCCAATTCAATGGGGGGAAAAGACAGTCTTTTCAACAAACGGTATTGTGAAAACTGAATATCTACAAGAAAAGAATGAAGTTGGATCCTTACATAACACCCTACACAAAAATTAACTCACAATGGATCAAAGACTTAAGTGTAAGAGCTAAAACTATAAACTCTTAGAAGAAAACATAGGAGAAAAGTCTCGTGACATTGAGTCTGACAATGATTTCTTAAATATGACACCAAAAGGCACAGACAACAAAAGAAAAAAGACTAAATGGATTACATCAAAATTTAAAACTGCTGTACACCAAAGGACACTATTTTTTTTTTTTTTTTTTTTGAGATGGAGTCTCGCTCAGTCGCCCAGGCTGGAGTGCAGTGGCGCGATCTCGGCTCACTGCAAGCTCTGCCTCCCGGGTTTAAGCCATTCTCCTGCCTCAGCCTCCCAAGTAGCTGGGAATACAGGCGCCCGCCACCACGCCCGGCTAATTTTTTTGTATTTTTAGTAAAGACGGGATTTCACCGTGTTAGCCGGGATGGTCTCGATCTCCTGACATTGTGATCCGCCTGTCTCGGCCTCCCAAAATGCTGGGATTACAGGCGTGAGCCACCAAAGGACACTATTAACAGCATAAAAAGGCAACCCACATGATGGGAGAAAATATTTGCAAATCATATGCCTGATAAGAGATTAATATCCAGAATATATAAATAACTCCTACAAGTTTACAACAGAACAATAACCCATGAAACAATTTAAAAATAGACAAAAGACGTGACTAGCTATTCCTCTTAAAAAGATATAAAATGGCCAATAAGCACATTTTTAAAATGCTCAGCATCACTAATCATTGGAGAAATGCAAATCAAAACCACAATGAGATATTACCCAACACCCATTAGGATAGCTACCATTAATAAAAAATAACAAAAATAATAAATATTGTCAAGGATGTGGATAAATGGGAACCCTTGGTATTGCTGGTGAGAATGTAAGATGGTGCAGCCACTGTAGAAAACAGTATGGCCATTCCTCAAAAAATTAAAAATAGAATTAACATATGATCCACCAATTTCACTTCTAGGTATATACCTAAAAGAATTGACAGTAGGGACTCAAATAGATGTCTGTACACCCGTGTTCATAGCAACATTATTCATAATAGCCAAATGTGGAAGTGACGCAAGTGTCCATCAATGGTAAATGGATTTTTAAAATGTGGTAAATAAACATAATGGAATATTATCAGCCTTAGAAAAGAAGGAAATTCTGACACATGCTACCACATGGATGAACCTAAGTGAAATAAGCCAGTCACAAAAGTACAAATCACACAGGGGTATGATTCCACTCATATGAGGCTCCAAGAGTAGTCAAAATCATAGAGACTGAAAGAATGTTGGTTACCAGAAGCTCGGGGAAGTGAGAACGGGAGATTGTTTTTGGTTTTTTTTTTTTTTAGGGTTGAGTCTATGTCATCCAGCCTGGCCTTAAATTTTGGACTCAAAGCTGGAACGATATGCATGCACCACTGAGCCCAGCATGGAGTTATTTTCTTAATGGGTATAAGAGTTTACGTTTTGCAGGATGAAAAGAGTTCTGGAGACTGGCTGTATAATAATGTGAATGTACTTTACACAACTGAAACAGTACATTTAAAAATAATTAAGATAGGCCAGGCACGGTGGCTCACGCCTGTAATCCCAGCACTTAGGGAAGCCGAGGCGGGTGGATCACCTGAGGTCAGGAGTTCAAGACTAGCCTGGCCAGCATGGTGAAACCCTGTCTCTATTAAAAATCCAAAAAAAAATTAACTGAGCGTGGTGGTGTGCCTGTAATCCCAGCTACTTGGGAAAGTGAGGCATGAGAATGGCTTGAACCCAGGAGGCAGAGGTTGCAGTGAGCTGTGAACATGTCACTGCACTCCAGCCTGGGTGACAGAGCGAGACTCTGTCTAAAATAATAATAATAATAATAAAGATGGTAAATTGTGTGTGTGTGTGTATATATATATATATATATATATATTTTTTTTTTTTTTTTTTTTTTTTGAGATGGAGTCTCACTCTGTTGCCCAGGCTGGAGTGCAGTGGCACGATCTCAGCTCACTGCAAGCTCTGCCTCCCAGGTTCACGCCATTCTCCTGCATCAGCCTCCCGAGTAGCTGGGACTACAGGCACTCGCCACCACGCCTGGCTAATTTTTTGTATTTTTAGTAGAGACGGGGTTTCACCGTGTTAGCCAGGATGGTCTCGATCTCCTGACCTTGTGATCCGCCCGTCTTGGCCTCCCAAAGTGCTGGGATTACAGGTGTGAGCCACCGCGCCCGGCCTTATGCGTATATTTTGCCACAATAAAAATTAATGTATTTCCCTAATTGCTGGGTACAGGCTTCTACATATGTGCAACAGCTCAATCTTACTTATTTTGCAGTTTAACTCATGATCTTACTAATTTTGGGTGTATGGGATCTCACAAGAGATTTGTGTGAAAGACTTCTTTCACTTTGGTGGTGGGTTTTACAATTTCTACCTGAATTTTATAAAATTTCGCTTTATACTTTTGACCTAACATATTAGGTACATGAGTTTAGAATTACATCTTCCTAATTAACTGAATCTTCTATCACATGTATTAACAACACACTATACCACTAATGATGGTTATATTCTGTATCTAATAACTCCAATATCAGGTATTGGGGATCTAATTTTGCTTTTGCTTGTTTCTGCTAACATTTTTACACAAAATGGTTCATGTCCTCTCTGTTTTGAAATTTGGGACTCGGAAGTCATATTTGGGATTTAACCTATAAGAATGCTGCAAAGACTGAGTGTGGGGACAAGCCTCCATGGAGGATGTGTATTTGCTTTTGCCTGGGACCCTGGGGGTCCTCCAAACAAGAACCACTTTGATTCCCCAACTAGGATTTCCTAGAGATTCAGGTAGTGTAAATCCAATCCCAAACCCACATATGGGAAGGCCCTGATTGCATCAGAGAAGACTCTCCCCGCACCCCCAACCTAGAGCTTGGGCCATGATAGACAAGTGTCTTTGTTATTTCCCTTTGCAGACTGCTGCATTTTTTTCTAATCCATACTTTTATTTAAGATGTATCCCTTGAGGTCCTGGCTTTAGAGAACCAACCTTCTACCCTGAGTGGATCTAAAGCCCCATCTCTTTCCTTCTGTTCAGCCATTGCAAGAGAGCCCACTTGGTTATTAAAACTGACAAACGTCACTCAGAAGCCAGTGCTTCAGGATGAAATTGCTACACAGGTTTCCAGCTCCTCCTTTGTTTTGATCCCCTGGAGATTTATCTTATAGTCCTACAATTTCAGCTATGTGTTTAAAGGATGTTTGTTGTATTTTACCTAGCATTCCTAGGAGTTTTGTATTAGGTGGCTTTTCAGGATAGCTAGTCTACCATAGTACCAAAAACAGAGGTCCATTTCTTACTCTTGTAATTAAAAAAAAAGTTTTCTTACTTAGCAAGTGAAGACACAGAGGAGTTATCAAAACAGTTTCCACTACGATAAAATCTTTATCAGTCATATAACTCCCATGTTCACTTCTGTTATCCCTTCTTTGTTCCCAGATTGCTCTGGTAGTAAACTACCTAAGATGAGTTGAATGTGGGCTGATTAGGACACTGCCTAAGGGGTGGAGGGTGGGGCTGATGGGAAGCTCCATCTCATTCTGAGTCCAGACTTGAAGAAAGAAGAACCCCCAGACTACAGTGGGGCAGGAAGATACTGAGAAGGGAAAAAAAATCAGAATGAGTCCTTAAGGCCTGTAATCAGGAAGAAATACAAGAAACTCATCAAAGGCTAAGAGCAAAGGGTCTCACAAGTTGAAAATATAAATGTTCAGGCAACAAGAGTGAATTCTTTAGCACTCCTAAATTAGGCCACTTTTTCCTGGCTTATTTAGCAAGTATTTTTATCTAGATTACCTATAAGGTGGATTACGTCCTTAAATAAAATGTGTTTTTCTACATCATCAGGAAGAAAACAAGTCACAGAGAATTGGAATAACTGGCACCAAAGCCACATGTTTGTCCATCCCTGAGCCAGGAAAGAAACTCAGGATTGACAGGTTGTGCACTCCTGTCCCATTGATCTCTCCTCTACCCCTGCGGCTCTTCTCCCTTGTCACGGAAGAAATGAGCTCTCGCTTTAACACTGGGTGACAAAGCAGAATTTCCCAGAGGACAGAACATTCTGGAGGACATCCGTGGATATCCTAAACATCTTTATTAGTCTTTGAGTTTAGCACAGCCTTATCCAAAACAGGGAAGCAAACACTGCCCATCAAAAAGACAGCAGGTGAGCACGACTTCTAAATCAACAAAATAAATTTACTTTTAGGAAAACAAAAGGAAAGAATATCAAAGTGAAAATTTTCATAGGACTTTTCAGGCTTCAGAAAACTGCATCCCATAAGCCAAATCCAGCTAGCCACCAACTTCTGGAAATACAGGGACACACTTTATTGCACTTTACAGATATTGCATTTTTTTACAAATTTATGGCAAGCCTGCATTGAGCAAGTCTTGTTGGAGCCATTTTTCCAAAAGCATGTGTTTACTTTGTGTGTGTCACATTTTGGTAATCTTCACAATATTTCAAACTTTTTCACTGAGTGATCAAAGATCAGTGATTGCTGATGTTACTATTTAATAATTTGATGTTATTATTTTGGGGTCACTACAAGCTACACCCATAGAAGATGGCAATCTTCATCATAAGTGTGTCTTGTGATTGCTCCACTGACTGGCTGTTCCCCCCCATCTCTCTCCCTCTTTTTGAGCCTATTTCCTGAATTACAAAAATATTAAAGTTAGGCCAATTAACAACCCTACAGTGGCCTCTACATATTCAAATGAATGATAGTCACACATCTCACACTTAAAATCAAAAGTTAGAAATGAGCTCAGTGAAGAAGGCATATCAAGAGCCAAGATACGACAAAAACTAAGCCTCTTGTGCCAAACAGCCAAGTTGTAGATGCAAAGGAAAAGTTCTGGAAGGAGATTAAAAGTGCTAACCCAGCAAACACATGAATAATAAGAAAGCTAAACAGTCTTATTGCTGATATGGAGAAATCTTAATGGTGTCAAAAGAAGACCAAACTAGTCACAACATTTCCTTAAGACAAAGCCTAATCCAGAGCAAGTACCTAAATCTCTTCAATTCTGTGAAGAGTGAGAGAAGTAAAGAAGTTTGGAAGAAGTTGATTCCAACTCTTATGGATGACTTTGAGGGATTCAAGATCTCAGTGGAGGAGGTAATTGTAGACATGGCAGAAATAGCAAAGGAACCAGAGTTTGAATTGGAGCCTAAAGATGTGACTGAATTGCTCTAGTCTCATGATCACACTTGAAGGAATGAGAAGTTGCTTCTTATGGATCTGCAAAGAAAGTGTTTCTTGGGATGGAATCTACTCCTGATGAAGATTCTGTGAGCATTGTTGAAATGACAACAAAGAATTTAGGCTATTACACAAGTTAGTTAATAAAGCAGCAGCAGCATTTGAGAGGATTGACCCCAATTTTCAAAGAAGTTCTACTGTGGATAAAATGCTATAAAACAGCATCGCATGCTACAGAGAAATCTTTCATGAAAGAAAGAATCCATTGATGGCAACAAGTTCATTGTTGTCTCATTCTAAGAACTTGCCACAACTACCCCAACCTTCAGCAACTACCACCCTGGTCACTCAGCAGCCCTCTATATTGAGGCGAGACCCTCCACCAGCAAAAAGAATATGACTCGTTGAAGACACAGATGATTGTTAGCAATATTTAGCAGCAAAGTATTTTTTATTTAAGGTTTGTACAATTTTTAGACATAATGTTATTGCACAATTAGTAGATTACAGTATAGTATAAACATAACTTTATATGCACTGGGAACCCAAAAGTGTGTGTAACTTGCTTGTTTGCAATATTTGTTTATTGTGGTGGTCTGAAACCAAACCTGAAATATATCTGAGGTATGGCTTTAAGTTTTATTGGAACACAGCCAGTCATTATTATCTATGGCTGCTGCTACACTACAGTGGCAGAGTTGAGTAGCCATAGCAGACCACATGACTTAGATGCCTAAAATATGTACCATCTGGCCGTTTACAGAAAAGAGTTTGCCAACCCCTGTCAAAACTCTCTATTTTAGTCTTCCTGTCTAGTCATGATTCAGTATGACCAATCAAAGATAATGAAGATGTCTCAAAGGACATTTTCCTCACCATTTTGCTGGAGACATCCCACCTTTACAATCTTTCTGCCTGCAGTATGCTACCTCCCTGCTCTCTCTCTATACTAGTCACTGTTATCTCTGGCTAAGGTTTCTTCATTTGTAAAAGGAAATATAGTATCTACTTCATTAGGTCATTGTGAGAATTAAAGGAGATACTCAGTAAATGGTGGCTATGATTAAAATTCATGCATTCATTCAGCACATATTTGCTGTATTTGTTACAAGTTGAATTGTACCCTCCCCCTAAATTCACTTTTGGAAATGCTAACCACAATACCTCAGATTGGGACCTTATTTGGATGTAGGGTCTTCAGAGAGGACATCGAGTTAAAATGAGGTCATTAGGTGGAGTCTAATAAGACTGGTATTATTATAAGAGGAAGGAATTCGGACACAGAAACTCAACAAAGAGAAGATAAACTTACAGAAAAAGGAAACAGCCAACTACAAGCCAAAGAGAGAGGCCTGGAACAGATATTTCCTTCACAGCCCTCATAAGGTACCAACCCTGCCAACATCTTGATCTCAGACTTCTAGGCTCCAGAACTGTGAAACAATAAAATTTCAATTGTTTCAGCCACTCAGTCTGTGATACTTTGTTACAACTGCCCTAGCAAACTAATATATAGATTTCTATAAGAAAACAGCCAAAAACAAAAAACAGATAGTGACGTGGAACAAGGAGGTGCTACTTTGTATTAGTAACTCATTTCTTTGAGATGACATTTGTGCTATGACCAAAATAGTTACAAGAAGAAAATCATAAGACAATCTGGGGAAAACACATTCCAGCTGAAAAAATGATAAATGAAAAAGGCCTGGAACAGAAATGAGTTTGCTGGTACAGCTCTTTTCTCCTCCACCTTTTTCTTATCTTAAACACAGATGATGTAGATGTGATGTCTGGAGCTTTAAGAACTATCTTGGGACCATGAGGCAACAAACATAAGGTGAAATGTGAACATGCTGAGAGAAAAAAGCAAGGATCTGAGTACTTCATGGAATCATGAAACAGCTGCACCAATACTACTAATTGCTTACTCAGGATTTCTTGTTCTGTGAGAAAAATAAATCCCTTTTTGTTCAAGGCATCATTAGTCAGTTTTTCCATGACTTGGAGCCAAAAAACTTTCTTAACAGACATTACATTGTACAGTGTGGTAAGGATTACGAGACTTTGGCAGTTTTTAATCTGAGGAAAAACAAAGTCTGATTTAAGTTTTTAAAAGAACATTCTGTGAGATTAGGAACTATAGAAATGTAGTCATAGAAATTAGGAATAGGTTTTTTAAGGCTCTGTAGGTCGTAATTTTGAATTTTATTCTAAATGTAATAGGAATTTCCTACAAGAAGTGTCAAATCTGATTTGTATTCTTAGAGAACACCTTAGGTTGGTGAGTTAGGAGACCAGTAAAGAGACAACTGCAGTAGCCAGAAAAAATATGATGGTAGATTCACAAGGGTGATATTAGTAAAGATAGAGAAAATTGGGGGAAAAGAACATTCTGGCTACTGAAATGCAGAGAAGCCTGTTATCAAACTAATCAAGGAGAAGAATAGTGGTGGTTGGTACCTGATAGATTTAGGAAGCATTTTGGACATAGCAGTCTTGAGTGGACTTGCCAGTGAATTGGATGCAGGGTGAATCGAGAAAAAAATGGGGAGTGAGAATAACTTACTTTTTGTTTGCCTGAGCAACCAGGTAGATGGAGATGATATTAAGTAGAAGAGGTCAGTGTTAAAAAAAAAATTAAGAGTTCAGAGTTATGTTTTCACCATGTTAAATTTCAGATCTCTCTTCAGAGAAATGCAAATCAAAACTGCAATGAGACATCATCTAACCCCAGTTAAAATGGCTTATATTCAAAAGGCAGGCAATAACAAATGCTGGAGAGGATGTGAAGAAAAGGGAACTTTTTATGCTGCTGGTGAGAATGTAAATTAGTAGAAACACTACAGGGAACAGTTTGGAGTTTCCTCAAAAAACTAAAAATTGAGCTACCATATGATCCAGCAATCCCACTGCTGGGTATATACCCAAAAGAAAGGAAATCAGCATATGGAAGAGATATCTGCACTCCTATATTGGTTGCAGTACTGTTTACAATAGCTAAGATTTGGAAGCAACCTGTGTCCATCAACAGTTGAATGGATAAAGAAAATGTGGTACATGGAATACCCTTCAGCCATACAAATAAATGAGATCCAGTCATTTGCAACAACATGGATGGAACTGAAGATTATTAGGTTAAGTGAAATAAGCCAGGTACAGGAAGACAAACATTGCATGTTCTCATTATTTGTGGGATCTAAAAATAAAGACAATTGAATTCATGGACATAAAGAGTAGAAGGATGGTTACTAGGGGAAGGGTAGTGGGGGATTAGAGAAGAGGGAAGATGGGGATGGTTAATGGATACAAAAAAATAAGACCTACTATTTGATAGCACAACAGAGTTACATTGTAGTAAATAACTGTACATTTTTAAATAACATAAAGAGTGTAATTGGATTGTTTTTAACTCAAAAGATAAGTGCTTGAGAGGATGGATACCCCATTCTCCATGATGTGCTTATTTCACATTGAATGCTAGTATCAAAACATCTCATGTACCCCATAAATATATACACCTACTATGTACCCACAAAAATTAAAAACAAAATTTAAGTTTCAGATCTTTGTAAGACTCCCAGATGAGGACATCAAGTAAGCATTAAATATATAAATGTGGAGTTCAGGGATGCTTTTAGACGCAGACATGTACATTTTGATTCATCTGTATGCAAGTGTAAGCCTAGATGTGATCACTGAGAGAAAAGCAGCCCATCCAAAACCAAGCTCTAACATTTGCCAAGCATTAGATATTGATCAGGGGAGGAGGGGGAGGAAGAGACTCAGAAGGAACGGTTATGAGAAAAGGAGGAGGAAAGCTAGAAGAGTGTGTTATCTTGGAAGCCAAGAGAAGAAGTTGTTTCAGGAAGGAGTGGGCAGGTCAAACACTTCAAATGCTGACAGGTCAACAAAGACAGGACATTTGGATTTAGCAAGATGATTAAACTGTGAAAATAGTTTTAGTGGATTGAGCGATCAGAGCCCACTCAAGTGGCTCAAACATTGGCCGTAAAATTTTTTTTAAAAGGAGCAGAGAGTGACTATAGGCAATCATAATGGGAGAACTGGGGGAAATGTAAGCACTTCCCTGAGGACTACATTCTCTCCTTTCACTTGCCTTTTTAATTTTTTTTCTCTCCTCTTTCCCTTTATGCTACATGATCCCTTGGCTAGCACCCAAAGCCCCGTGTGAAACAAGTGGTCTGGGTGTCTCAGGCATGGTGGTCCAAGGCAGGGAGTAGATACTGTCCTTCCTTTTGCTGCTTTTCTAATTGCACACCAGGGCTGAAAGTTATTTGATCATGGTCAGACATAATTTTCTGATTCCTTTGTATGTCAAATCTTGCAGCCTAGCATCACCTTCATTTCATTTAATTTACTTAGTTTCTCAAAAGCAGCAGAGAACGAGTTGTGTTTGTGTTAGTTTATTTTAATGTATAATGAGCGATTCAAATGATTGCACATCACACATTCAAATTTGGTTGAATGCGTAATCATTTAAATGAACACAGGTGCCATGCGCCTGTGTGCGCCTGGAAAACCACCCTCTGTGCTTCATGTGGAAAGATGATGATGTACGGGCTGTACAAACCTCATATCTTAATTTTTTCTTTTCTTTTTTTTTTTGTGAGATGGAGTCTGAAGTGATGCAATCTTGGCTCACTGCAACCTCTGCCTCCTGGGTTCAAGGGATTCCTGTGCCTCAGCCTCCTGAGTAGCTGGGATTACAGGCATGTGCCACCGCACCTGGCCAAATTTTTGTATTGTTAGTAGAGACTGGGTTTCACCACGTTGGCCAGGCTGGTCTCAAACTCCTGACCTCAAGTGATTCGCCCACCTCAGCCTCCCAAAGGACTGCGATTACAGGCATAAGCCATGGTGCCCGGCCTTTAATTTCTTTTTAATTTCATTCTGCCTCAACTTCTTTGTTTTTTCCACCCAATAAAACGTGCTGAACCCTGAGCTCTGTGAAGTAGATACTTGCCCCAACAGCAAACCTCAAACTATTCTGAAACACACATGAAACAGCAAGCTTGCAAATGTGGAGTGTATTTTTAACTTTGGGGATGAAAAACTACAAATCTGTGCTCTTTAAAATTAGCATTTCCAGCAAGGTATGAAACCCTGGAAACAAAGATGAAAGAAATTAAATTATCTTCTGTAATAATGCTCCTGTGAGGTGGGACTAATAGCACAGAAACTTCTTTCATGTCACTCCTGACACTTTAGTATCAATCCTCCCAGGCAAGCTAATGTAATCAATTCTGGCATGTTTCACTGTAGTGCTGACTGCTATAGCATTATTAGTACGACCGTGTTATTTCATAATTAACTTACCTTTTATTTTTCAGACAGGAACTAGATCTAGTGAAACAAAAACACTTGGGGGATCTCTGAATAGGCTCCTGAACTGTTTATACATGCATATCACTAAATCCCAGTCGAAGCTTAGATGTAAGAAGCAGTTCATTGTTGCTCCCTAACCTGTTCCAGCACTATGGGGAAGTCAGAAGTCCTTGTTGGCTACCATAAGTATCATCAAAGAAATTCTTCACCACTGATCACTTATTATACCTGAATGCATGTTAAGAATAGCTGAGAAACCTGTGCTTCTCAAAAGGAGGTAGGTGGACCATTTTCATCAGATTCACCTGAAGGGCTTATTAAGAAGTACAGATTCCTGTATGCCATACTACTCAATCAGGATCTCTGACGGGAGCCCTGGCGTCTGCATTTTTAATAGGCTTTCCAAGGATATTTATATCTTCTAATGCTTAAGAACCATTGAATTAAACTATTTTACATCAGCCATCTTTCACCAATGATAATGCTTGTCATTAAGCCATTTCCATGTATATAAACACATATATACACATACATATGTATATATTGTAAAGCCTTGGGTCCTACTGCATCACAATTGGGATGGGTGCCTTGGTGCCCAGCCAACATTCTCTTCTTTGGCAATGCCACTGTCACAGACTCTGCAAAAATGAGTAATGTATCTAGTAGTCCTGGTGCTACCACAGCCATTAAAACTGATTTGACATGGGCTGGAAATCTGACCCAAGCTGAGTCAATGAGAGTCTCTGTTATTAATTCAAACTGAGACCATAAAACTGCAGTAGTTGGTAGTGGTCACTGGAACTGGGAAGCCATTTAGACTCTCAAGGCTGGGATTGTTTGGAGACTGTGTGGATGAATGGGCGGGCAGAGAGGACCGGGCCACAGTGAGAAGCAGAGGGTAAAGCAGGTGCCCTAAATGATGTAGAAATGAAATATGCTGTGGAGAGACAGAGACGAAGCCAAGTGTGGATGAGAGAGGTGAAAAGAACAGGAATCTTGGTTCCTGAAGACTTCTCAGTTTACAATCGCAAACTCATATTATGTACCAGCTCTTAGCTTCCATTTACTTAAGGAGGTGTGTGTTGGTTTCTGCTATTTGCAAGCAAAAACAGCCCTGAATTCAGCAGGGCTATTTTCAAAGTAATTATTTTGAGTAGTTTCATATAGCCTAAAGTTTTTCGTTCAATATTCTTTGATTTTTAATGTTCAGAATAAGCCAAAAGAGTTCCTAGTCTATTACCAAGACCTTCCTAGTAAAATAAAAATTAAAATAAAAAAGGTAAACTCTCTTGGTTTTTTTCTTTGAAAAACTGCTCTTTCATGCTCCTGGGCAGAGTTCAATAAAAACTCACAAAGCAGAAATGTCACCTACCTGAGTTGTCAGGCCACTAGCCAGAGTAGCTGTCAATTAATGTTCCCTGTCTTCCCTTTGGAAAGTTGAGCAGACAAGCTGGCAGGAAAAAGTCCAGTTACCTTCAAGGGTCATCCATCTACTTCTAAGCCAACAAATACCTGCGTATCTTGACTCCACAGCTGAGATCAACTAAAAACAAACCAAATGCTAAAAATCTTTGCTTCAAAAAATAAAAAACAAAAGAAAAAGGATGCCAGTTTAGACAGCAGCCAGCACCTGGCTGGCTTGCTAATGGAGTGCTGGGAACCAAGCCTCCGTCCACTCACCGTATTCATTAGGCAGAGAGAAATTTTCAGATAGATTCCAATGATTGGTGGAAAGGCTCTGAGAAAAGGATGGCATTCCACTCTCCCCCATCCACCCTCCTTTTACTTACCTCCTTTTACTTACTTCCACTCCTCACTCCACTCTCCTGGCAACTGTTCCAGAAAAAGGAGCCGGGAGCCACAAGGGGGACCCAGGCTGGTCTGTGTAAGAACAGGCTGTGCCAGGTTTTCAGATGCAATTAATTTTCAAGATAAGCTCTAAACTTCTGAAATGTCTTTGCAATTGAAATGCTGATACAGTCGTCAACCACTGCAGTACATAATCATAAATCTTGAGCACAGATAGTTTTTGTTGGTAATAATGAAGTACAATATACATTTAATTAGTGTGAGATTTAGGAAACGTGCAGTGTAATAAAACAATATTCTAATTAGGGTTGGGGAAACGTTTAAATACTATTTGTGCAGTACCGTTCAATGAAACTCTTACAAACTACACTCAAATCTGCTGTTTCTAAGCAAAAAAAAAAAAAAAAAAAAAAAAATCAAAACAGAAGCAACAAGTTCTTTATGCCCTTGAATATTAGTTGCAGGGACAGCACTAGATTAAAAACAAATGCTTGGTGGTCATCTGGAGTAGGCAGCTCAGGGGGAAAAGGGAATCCCAGTGCTAAAGTGCTTGCTAGATTTTTGGTAACAGCCCAGGCTGTCCTCACACCTTCATTTACTGTCCTATTAATTTATGCTTCAACCTCCCCAACATCCTGCTCAAAACCCGTCATCTGTTACCTGGGAATGCCACCTGTGCCCACGTCCAGGGATGCTGGGATTATTAATGATGCATTTCCTAAGAGTCCCCAAGTCCTTCAAAAGAATGAGTAATCTAAACTGACACCACGAAAGAAAAACAGCCTAACGAAAGAAAGGTGTGGAAGTCAGGAAGCCTAGAGTCTAATCCTGGCCTTAATTGTAATTTTCTGTGTGTCCTTGAGAACTAATTAACATTTCTGTACTTCATTCTCCTGATCTGAAAACTGAGAATAGCAAGGTTTCATTTGGGCAATGTTGTATAGGTCTGAGATAATTCCTATATTATAATGAATGTGAGTAAAAAGTGATGGGAGAAAAGATGATGTGCCTTTTCTACTCACTCCCACATACACTCAAGTGCATGTAGAGTAGCAATGGAGAAAACGCAAGGGGTGCAGCTTCCCAACTTATTGGTTTTTGTTTATCTTTTAAAGGGAGGATTTAAATACTTTTTAAAGTCAGGGCATTTAGTGTTTAAAGTCAGGGCACTTAGTGTTTAGATAGAGTTCATTTTAATTGTAAATCAAAAAAATTCTCCTGAATGTCATAATCCATATGAAAAGGGTAAAAATAATTTCAATAAGTCCTTACACTAAATAAATACATTTACACTAAATAAATGTATGATCTGGGGCAAGTGAATTAACCCTCCTGTGGCTACGTTCCATCATCCCAAGTGCACTCTCTTACCGAGGAAGTGGTGAGCAATAACTCAGCCAAACTCACCTTATTTTTTTCCCTCTTTATCTGAAGATGTTTTTATATGAATGTAAAAAAAAATTACAGAATTTCTGATCTGGTAAAATATTGAAAAACCACCTAATCTAAACCCTTCCTTTTACTGATAAATTGAGGCCCAGAAACATTAAACAACTTGTCCAAGGTCACACAGGTGGCCAGACACAAAGCCAGGACTGGGCCCTGTGCATACCACAGCTGCCTCATGGGTTTGAGAGAGTTAATGCCCCTCCAAACAATAAACAGGACAACCTATTCATGGCCAACTGGTATAATTTGTCTCCATTTTGCAGTACTGCATATTTGTGAAGATGTTGCCAACCTTTTTTTAACATTGAAAATATATCAGTGATATTATCATTATTTTAAGTCAGCTAGAAATCCCAGAAAAAGGAATTAACAGCTTATTACTTTCAAACATCTCATAACACTATTAGGAAGAATGTTTTTGACATTTTTATGTAGTCAGGTGGAATCTAATGTAAACACTACATTTGCTAGGCTAAAATCTATTTCTCCATCTTTGTTTTCTGCAGAGAAATTTCACTGACTTAAGATGTAGTTCACAACAAAAATTGATAGGAAAATATGGTCCTAACATATAGGAGCTAATTAGTATGGATTTCCTTTCAGGCATATTTTGCTTATGCTACCAGACACTAGGAAAGATCCTTACATGCAAGTTAGTTTAATCATCAGCTAATCTTCTTCTATGTTTGATTGATCCACATTGAATGAAGTTAATAGATTGTAAAGGTGGTTCCCTAGCTTTTGGGTTCTTGTACTATAAAAATTCTGCACTTACTCCTATACCCCACCAAAATTGGAAACAGACATAAGATTTCCAACTTTTAATTTTCCCAAGTTAAAAAAAATAGCTAACCAACTGTCACCACCATTCCATGAAAGAAACAATTCAAACAACAACAAAAAAAGCAAAAGAAAATATTACATTCTCAAAATAAAAAAATCTTTCAATGGAATACTTTGACTTTATGAAAAACTAACCACAATGTCACTCCACAATTAAATGGTGTCAACTCCATCATAGTAATTATCAGATAAGATGATGTATTCTAGATGTTTAGTTAAAAGAATGTAAAAGCATTGGACAAAATGCATCTATGTTATGTGTTTTACTTTCTCGTCCTTTAAACCAAGAAGTCAGTGAATTACCTGTGTTAAATATTTAATAAGTGCAGATACCTGAGCGGCACCCCAGATCTTCTGAATCAGAACCTCTGCTACCCTGGGTATAATTTTATTGTGAAATGGCAACAGTACTAGAAGCCAAAAAAACCCCTTGAGAACATTTGAAGTCTCTGCTTGCATTATGATATTCCATTGGCTGAGCCCAACATCAGTCAGATAAGGAAATCTACTCTCCCTGCGTTTTGGGAGGCACTGCAAAGTCACTTTGCAAGGACATGGTTGTCCTGTAATTCTATAACACAGGAGAGAATAAAAAATGGGAATAATAATCCGATCAACTATGGCTTAATTTTGGAAAATGTGCCGTTACTGCAGGAATAAAGATGGCCAACCTAATCATCCAGGTAACTAGGCACGAGTTTCTACTCTCCTTCTGAGTAACAACTTACTTAGACACACGAGTGTTTCCAGAGAAAGGTGCATTCAGAGCAAGCCTACCTTTGATTTCCATCTTGAGAAGGTAGTTCGTCATATTTTATATCAACATCAAGATTTGCTTTTTTTCTTTTAATCATTTTAATGTTAAGTCCTTCTTCACATGCATTTTATCATCTTATCATTTAGATGATAAATTTCACACTTGTCATAGATCCGCTGTGTAGAATAGAACAGCAATTTCTGCACCTGTTTTACTTCATTGCCTACGGCCGTGGTTCATTAAACCCAACTTTCAGAGAGCCAAGCCCAGGCAAGTGCTGTTTCTTTAGAGCACCTACAGGTGATTCAGATGTGCGCCCAGAACTGAGAACTATTGGCTAGGACCTCTGATCCAGGCATGAATACAAATACAACAAAGAAGTAGTGCCACACACTAACTCTCCCTGTGCCAGAAGAAGCTGCAACATTAGTTTGCAAGAAGATAGGTCATTTATAAAATGTCCTCTGGGCCCAATCAGACCAGCAGTATCAGCAGCACCTGGGAGCTTGTGAGAAATGCAGACTCTCAGGCCCCTTCACAGCCCTGCTGGGCCAGGAAACTACATTTTAAACAGATCCCCAGGTGATTTATATCTACATTAAAGTCCAAAAAGCACTGTCATAAATCCGAAGTCCAACTGGGCAAGCAATTCCACGATTCAGTCTGCCCCAGCACACATCTTCTTAGGTTCTTAAGATTCGAGTCCAGGATTCATCGCCGATCATGTTGCAGGTGAATTAATTACTGTATTGATATAGATCATATCATATCTCTTATTTTCCAAAGAAATAAATTAACTGGAGAGGAGGGAACGTTAAATTATGTTAGAAATAGAAAGAGTGGCATTAGCCACCCAGCATGCACTAGTGTGTCACTTTATTGCACTGTGGTCAAAACAAAACAGATATGATCTGGCTCTTGCCTTCAGGCTACTTACATTCTAAATAAAAGATACTGACAAGTAAACAACTACCTAGTGATGGCAGTGGCTGCTGGATCACGCTGGCTACAGCAGGGAGGCACAGCTCCGGCTGCACACTCCATGGAGCCTATGGGAGCCCCGCCCCTTCTGGGCTGGAGTGGGAGCTCACTGGGTGCCGCTGCAGCTGCCCAAACAGCAGCTGCAGACCCAGGCCTCCTGCTCTACGGAGCAGGCAGGAGCCTCGCCTTCCTCAGCGGGGCTACAGCCGCCCAAACTGCAGCTGTGGATCTGAGCCTTCCTGTGCTCTTGGGGGAGGGCCGGGAGCAGGCAGGCTCTGCCTTCCCGGGTACGGCTGCGGCTGCCCTCCTAGGCACAGGACCCAGGCGTCTCTGCAGTCTGCACCCCTGGGGGCCCCAGGAAGGACCCCCTAATCCATGCATGCTCGGGGGTGTCTGCTCCCACTGCCTGGCCTCTCTGCTCCTGGCACCTGCTCCAACCTTCGAGTAGGTTTTGGGACGGAATCCAGGGGCCATGAATGGCAATGGGAGGCAGATTGATTCCTAGGCGGAAGGGGGAAGGTCCCCAGTAAGGCCCCACCTCTGGACCAGGGAAGGCCTGAAAGTAGGGGGCTGGGCTACCAATCCTGCAGACCAGAGTGAGGACTCATGATGCCTCTTCTTTCCCGCCCATGGCTGCCCATGGACCAATTGGCACACACTTCCTCCCCTCTGAGGTCCACAAAAACCCTGGGTTCAAGCAGAGCAGAACAGAGGATGGCCAGAGAGAGGATGAAGAGAGCAAGCGACAGAAAGACAAGGAGACAACCAGCTGCAGAGAGGAGTACCGTCTCCACTGAGAGCAGCAACTGCAGCAGAGAGCTTCAGAGACCTGCAGAGACATCCAAATGACGTGCCTGCAGAAAGGAGCCACCCTCTCCAGGGTCTCCTCTCCGCTGAGAGCTGAACACTCAAGGGGATGACCTGCCTATAGAAAGGAGCTACCCACTCCTCTGAGCTGCTCTGACACCAAATAAAACTCTTCCTCTTCTTCACCCTTCACTTGTCTGTGTACCTCATTCTTCCTGGACACAAGACAAGAACTCAGGCAAAGGTGCCACAGCCACAGAAAATCGACACCCTAGAGATCCCGTAACACTAGTACTTCACGTGGTCTAAAATCCTAAACAAAAAATACAGCAATAAGGTATGGCAGTGACTTTCAAACTTTAGTGTGCACTAGAACCACCTAGAAGGCTTGTGCAACCACAGATCTCCCCAGCCCCGGAGTTTTTGAGGAAGTCTGTGGGGGTGAGAACCCCCACATCTAACAAGTTTTCTCTCACACTTTGAGAACCACAGGGTGATGGAAACAGAATAAAAAACAGAATTCTGGGGCTCAGATGGGGGACACAGAATGAGCCAGAAGTTGACAAGCAGAGAAGATCAAGAAGTGCATTATCAGTTGGCACAATAACAACAGTGGGGTGCATTTGAAGATCTGTGGGAAGTCTACTATGACTGGAGCTCAGGATATGTGAAATGAGGAGCAGATGAGGCTAGAAAGATAGGCCAGGTCCAATTCATGGTGGGGAAGAAGTTTGGGCTTGGCAGCAGAGGAATTTGTATTTTATTCTTTTGGCACTGAGGAGCAATGATATTTGAGGATACAGAGATTTTTTAAGAAGATATAATTCTACGTTTACTTTAAGATAGTAGTTCAGGCAGCGGGGAGGAGGATGGACTGAGAGACAGGAGAATGGAAAGTCAGGAGAGTAGCAGGGAGGCTATGGAAATGACTGAGAAGAATAATCCATGAATAAGGCCCCTTCTGCGGAGCACAAGAAGAGTCCATCATTGGACAGAAAAGAAGGTTCATTCATTAATTTAACACATATTTATTGAGTTCCTATTATATTCCAGGCACTGTGCTAGGCACAGAGGAAACAGCGAGGAAGGGGACAGACAGATTCTTACTCTCATGGAGCTCTTGGACTAGGGGAAAAGAGACAAGGCAATAAGGCCAGCAAAGGAGGAGAGACAATGGAACAATATGTGTGTGATGGCAGAACTGGGGATGGGCCTGTTTGCCTCTTCTAGTTAGGACCGTGAAGGAAGGCTTCCTGGAGGAAGGGACACTTAAGCCTAAATTCTCAATGGCCAAAATGTTTAACAGGGCATGTGATCTGGGCCCTCCTTTGGTCTTCAGCTTATTATAAACCATTATCTCTCTCACTCTTCATACTCTAGAGCTGGGCTTCTTTCCATTTTTCCAGCCTCAGGACCTTTGTGCATGGTTTACCCTTGGCTTGGAATTCTAATAGTTCAGCTTAAACATCGCTTCCACAGAGGATTCCCTATGACCCCAAGATTAGGTCATTACCCTGTTTCACTCTCTGAAATCTCCCTGTATTTCAGCTTCCTAGTACTTATCACAATGCTTATTAATTCCTTAGTTGAGGATTATTTGTTTAATGCCTGTATTCCCTATTAGATCATAAGGTTCATGGGACAGGATTATGTCTGTCTTCTCCATATCTGTATTCTGAGCTCTTAATGCAGTATCTGGAACACAATATGTACTCAGTATTTCATCTCATAAATGGAAACCAAGACCTAAAGAATAAAAAGGAAATAGGAAAGTAGGGTGTGAAGGGAAGGAATAGCATGCATAAAGTCCCTGAGGTAGAACTGGAAGGAGCCCAGCATGGTTGGGTCTGGCAGAGACAGACATAAGAGATGGGCCTGAAGAGACAGTCATTGGGAAGACACTCAGAGTTTGGAACCAGGAATCTCACAGCAGACCTTTTTAAAAGGCCTACTCTGGTTGCTTTACAAACAGTGTTTCAGGAGGATCAAGAGTGACTAATGATATCATTGAAAGGCTTTTCCAAGAGTCCAGGTGCTGGGAACACTGGGCAGGGAGGTAGCACTGGGAAGAGAAAGATAAAGACACTTAGGTGGGATACTTAGGAGACAGAACTAATGGAACTTGGTGGTGAACTGAATGTGAGGATAAAGGAGAAGAATAGTTGTTAAGATTGACCTGGATGTTATTGGTTTGTGGAGACAATCAGTGCCATTTATGGAGGTGGGAACAATGAACCTCCTGGGCCCTGTAGTGCTCCTCCTTGCAATGAGAGAGTACTTCTAACTAAGAACATAGACTGTAAGGGACTGAGACTGCAGAGACAATCCCACAGCCACAGGATTTTAGAGACCGCCAAAGGGACCTTAGAAACCAGTCCAGAATATGTGTGTACATATATTTTACATATACATATAATTCATACTGGATGGATAAAATAGTAAAATTCTTTGAAAAAAGGCTACTACTGCTAAAAATATTTGATCACCACTGTGCTGCGTAATGGTGTCAATTCCCCTACACATTAGCAGATTGATAGGTGACATGCAACCCCAGTTTTGTTACTGCAGAATATTAGTGCAGTTATAGATTTCTTTTTTTTTTGAGACAGAGTCTCACTCTGTTGCCCAGGCTGGAGTGCAGTGGCATGATCTCGGTTCACTGCAAGCTCCACCTCCCGGGTTCACACCATTCTCCTGCCTCAGCCTCCCAGGTACCTGGGACTACAGGTGCCTGCTGCCATTCCTGGCTAATTTTTTTTTTTTTTTGTATTTTTAGTAGAGACGGGATTTCACTTTGTTAGCTAGGATGGTCTCGATCTCCTGACCTCATGATCTGCCCACCTTGGCCTCTCAAAGTGCTGGGATTACAGGCATGAGCCGCCGTGCCTGGCCTAGATTTCTTTTCTGTATCTAGAGGTGGTAACTTTTCTTCTAAATCAGAAGATGGCAAAATTTTTCTGTAAAGGGCCAGATAGTAAATATTTTAGGCTTTGTAGATGCTACAGCCTCTGTTGCAGCTACTCAATTCTCAGCCACAGACAGTATGTAAATCAATGAACATGGCTATGTGATATAGATTGGATATTTGTCCCCACCCAAATCTCATGTTGAAATGTAATCCCCAATGTTGGAGGTGGGGCCTGGTGGGAGGTGTCTGGATCATGGGAGTGGATCCCTCAGGAAATGGCTTGGGTCATCCTCTTGGTGATAGGTGAGCTCTCACTCTGAGTGCACATGAGATTTGGGTTGTTTAAAAGTGTGTGGCACCTCCCCCCACCTACTTTCTCTTTTTCTCTGTTCTTGCCATGTGATGTGCCTGCTCCCCCTTAGCTTTCCGCCATGATCGAAAGTTTTCTGAGGACCCCCCAGAAGCAGATGCTGCTGTGCTTCCTGCAGAGCCTGCAGAACCATGAGTCAATTAAACCTCTTTTCTTACAAATTACCCAGTCTCAGATATTTCCTTATGGCAATGCAAGAATGGATTAATACAGAAAATTGGTACCAAGGAGTGGGACACTGCTAAAAAGATACCTGAAAATGTGGAAGTAGCTTTGGAACTGGATAATAGAGGTTGCAAGAGTTTGTAGGGCTCAGAAGACAGGAAGATGAGGGAAAGTTTGAAACTTCTTTGAGACTAGCCAAATGGTTGTGACCAAACTGCTGATAGTGATGTGGACAGTGAAATCTAGGTTGCTGAAGTCTCTGATGGAAATTAAGAACTTATTGGGAACTAGAGCAAAGATCACATGTGTTATACCTTAACGAAAAACTTGGCTGCATTCTGTTCATGCCCTAGGGATCCACGGAAGTTTGAACTTCATAATGATGATTTAGGATATCTGGTGGAAGCAATTTATAAACAGCAAAGCATTCAAGAGGTGGCCTAGCTGCTTCTGACAACCTACCCTCTGATGTGGGAACAAAAGAATGACTTAAAGTTAGAACTTATATTTAAACAGGAAGAAGAACATACACGTTTGGAAAAATTGCTGCCTAGCCATGTGACAAAGAAAGAAAAAGCTTTTTCAGGAGAGGATTTCAAGCAGGCTGTGAAGCAACTACTTGCTGGAGAAATTTTCACAACTGAAAAGGAACCACATGCTAATAGCCAAGACAATGGAAAACAAGGCTTCAAAGGCATTTCAGAGATCTTTGAAGCAGCCCCTCCCATCTTAGGCCCTGAGGCTTAGGAGAACTTAATGGCTTCAGGGACCAGGCCAAGGGCCTTACTGCCCTGCGCAGCCTTGGGACATTTTTCCCGGCATCCTGGCTGCTCCAGCTCCAGCCTTGGCTCAAAGGGCCCCAGATGCAGCTCAGAATGCTGCTCCAGAGGGTAAAAACCATAAGCCTTGGGGGCTTCCCTGTGGTGTTAAGCCTGTGGGTGCAAGAGTACAAGAGTTGAGTCTTGGGAGCCTCTGCCCAGATTTCAGAGGATAAATGGAAAAGCTTCGGTGTCCATGCAGAAGCCTGCTACAGGGGCAGAGCCCTCACAGAGAACTCTACTAGGGCAATGCCAAGGGGAAATGTGGATTGTAGGCCCCACATGGAGTCCTCACTGGGGCATTTCTAGTGGAGCTGTGAGAAGGGGACCACCATCCTCCAGACCTGAGAAGAGTAGATCCACCAGCTGCTTGCACCCTGAGCCTGGAAAAGCCACAGGCATTGCATTCAACTCCAGCCCATGAGCGCAGCCTTGGAGGCTAAACTCTGCAAAGTCACAGAGGCAGAGCTGCCAAAGGCCTTGGGAGCCCACCCCTTGCATCATATGCCTTGGATGTGGGACATGGGGTCAAAGGAGATTTTGGAGCTTTAAGATATAGTGACTGCCCTGCTGGGTTTCAAACTTTGACGGGCCTGTAGCTCCTTTCTTTTGGTCAATTTCTCCCTTTTGGAATGGGAATGTTTATGCAATGCCTATCCCCCCATTGTATCTTGGGAGTAACTAACTTGTTTTTGATTTTACAGGCTCATAGGTAGAAGGGATTTGCCTTGTCTCAGATGGGACTGTGGACTTTCGAGTTAATGCTGAAATAAGACTTTGCAGGGACTGTCAAGAAGGCATGATTGTATTTTGCAATGTGAGAAGGACATGAACTTTGGGAGGGCCCAGGGACAAAATGATACTGTTTAGGTATTTGTCCCTGCCCAAATCTCATATTGAAATGTAATCCCCAGGGTTGGAGGTGAGGCCTGGTGGAAGGTGTTTGGATCAAAGGAGTGGATCCCTCAGGAAATGGCTTGGGCCATCCTCTTGGTGATAAGTGACCATCCACTTGGTGATAAATGACCTTCCACTGAGTTCACATGAGATTCTGATCATTTAAAAGTGATTCTCATGATTCTAGGCAGTTTTGTAACCTGCCAAAAGCAGAAAAGTGAAGAGTGGCACCTCCCCACTCCACCCCTACTTTCTCTCTCTCTTTCTTTCTTCTCACCATGTGATGTACCTGCTTCCCTTTGCCTTCTACCACCATTGGGAGCTTCCTGAGGACTCCCCACAAGCAGATGCTACCATGCTCCCTGTGCACCCCGCAGAACTGGGAGTTCATTGAATCTCTTTTCTTATAAATTACCCAGTCTAAGATATTTCTTGATAGCGATGCAAGAACAACCTAGCATACTATACTTCGATAAATGTTTAGTCACAGACACTGAAATCTGAATTTCATAACATTTTCAGAGGTCAAAAATAATATCCTCCTTTTGGTCTTTTCAACCAATGAAAAATGTAAAAACCATTCTTAGCTCACAGACCATACAACTACAGTATCTGCCCCATGTGCTTGAATTTGTGGACTTCAGTCCTAAATGAGAGAGCTTTTCCACAGAGACATGGAGTCACAACATATAGGTAAAGAAAAGCAAGCTTTAGTGCCATATCCTGGTCTTATGTAATCCAATGGAGAAAACAGGAGAAGATTCCTAGCCAAGAAGAGGAATTAAAGATTCTCATGATTCCAGGCAGTTTTGAACCTGCTGAAAGCAGAAAAGTGAAGAGGAAATCACCCCATGTCATCTGGTTGGGAACAGCTCATCTCAGTGGCCCTAAAATGGGGTACCTCTGGCTGCTTTCTTTATTGTGGAAGCCAGGTGCATTCTGATTCTTATTCTTACTCAGAGCTCAGGCATGTCAAGTGAACCAGGTGCAGAAACTCACCAACCCCTTTAAGATATAAAGCTAAATGCTGATCATGTTCTTAGCTTTCAAGTATAATACTCATAACTAAACTCAAACTGCTGTATTATCTTCAAGCTAAGTAAGCTAACCATATATTAAAGAACTACAGGCTTCAACTACTTGAGGGACAATATAGAGATCAAAGAAAGGTAGTGTCATTACAAAGTGACATTTGCTTAAGAAGCTTTGAATTATCTCTAAACTGATCTTCCTGGATCTCCTATCAAGATCCACAAACTCAAATGATTGTCCCCAGACTAAGGATATGTATAGAGAGCCGAAGATACATATCACTATATATGCTCTTCAGTGCTCTTTTGATAAATTATAATTATATGTATATAACTACTTATATCAAAGTATTTCACTCTTGGGCTATGAACTACTTGAAGCTAGGGATCTTATCTTATTCATCTCTGAAATCTCAGTATCAACTACAATTACTATCATATAGATAAATCCGAATAAATATTGGTTGAATGAGTTAATGACAAGGCCATAAACTTATTAAAACTATAATATGGAAGAGGCAATATTTGCTTCTGTGCAAAATACAAAACATTATCTTAAAATACACACCAAGGAGCACACTTTGTGTATGTGCCTATCTCTCAGAATAATCTGGAGACTAAGGAAGTCTGTGATAAGGTAAAAGCATAGAATTTCTTGCTTACTTACCTGACAACCAAGTGGGATTTTAGTCATTAAATACCCCTGTGGCAAACACTACAGGATCTGCTTAGCCGAAGCAATCCCCACCCCACTTTTCTCTTGCCACCTTCCACAGAACAAGCTGAAAAATATAAAAACTCACTTTCTCTGTCTCCCTTGTTGATAGGGAAGCCCATTTGACCACATTATGGCCAATGGACTGTAACCAGAAGTCTCCTGGGGATTCCTGGGAAATCTGTGCTTTTCTGATAAAGGCTCTGATAACTGCTGCCAATTCCCTCTTCTTCCTCCTTTGACTGGGGACAGCAGGAACCAATTTGCAACCATGAGGATAAGGCCAGAAGAATGCCAACACACTGGCCCTGGCATCATTGAGCTGCTGAACCAATACCCAAATCTTTCTATCTCCAGATTTCCTGTGTGAGAAAAGGTAACAATTTTTATTTAAGCCACTGTTAGATGATATTCTTTTTCTTGCAAATGAGCATACTTCTAATGGCTGAAAAGCCTATTTTGAAAAACAAAAACTCCTAAGTGCCAATTAATTAATCTCCAAATGTTACAGCACCATCACTAAATATTATCTTACTATTTTCTGTTTAACTAGAGGTTATTTGGGGGTCCTTTTAAAACGTTTATTCCCCCAGGTATCTAGCCAATTAAACCACTACCATTCACTGTTTCTTTAGCACCTCTTTGCACTTACTCTGAGCACTGTCTTCAAGAAAATCTTAGTTTCTTTCATTCAACTCTTTGAAGGATAAATACATCATTTTCCATAATCTATCTACTTTCCTTTTAAGTGATATGAATTTAGTTTATTTATTCAATTTGTTATGGCATATTTCCAGAAAAGATTTTTGGTGGGCACTGTCAATCTGAAGCTCTATGTCTTAGGTGGAATTTTACTTACATCAAAAGACAGGAGAGCTATACAGGAGATCCACAAGATAATGGACTAGTAAGCTCTAGGTCCTTGTTCCTCCATGGAAACATCAAATAACATATGGACCATAGTAGCTTTGGGAAACTAGTTAAGAAGTTGTACAAAACAAGTAAATACTAAGCCAAGAAAAAGCCACACTCAAAAGGGTAAGACATTTCATGGCATTTTTGCTCACCCTTTCCCTATGCTCTCCTTCATGCAGTGTAGCTTGCTTAAGAGGCAACCACTCAATTCCTGGTTCTTCCTCCCTTGGGACCAAAGAAAATGAGTGGAACTTGCTTGCAACATTCTGGCTTGTCTGAGGGATGCATGGGTGACTGGTTTATGTCTTGTGTGACTCGGACAGTGAATGGAAACAGTGCCATAGTTTAGATATCAGCTTGGAGGCCCCTGGAAGCAGGAATGGGCACTTTGGCATGTGATAACTACAGGAGGACTACAGACCTACAAGTACCTGGGGCAAGAGATCATGAGCAGAGAAATACAACAGAACATCTAAGGCCCTGAGAAGCAAGGTTGAGACTCACAGAAATTAAGATGTTTAAAAGCAGCCAGCTGGGCACAGTGGCTCACACCTGTAATCCCAGCACTTTGGGAGGCCGAGGCAGGCAGATCACCTGAGGTTGGGAATTTGAGACCAGCCTGACCAACATGGTGAAACCCCGTCTCTACTAAAACACAAAAAGTTAGGTGGGCATGGTGGCACACACCTGTAGTCCCAGCTACTCAGGAGGCTGAGGCAGGAGAATTGCTTGAACCCGGGAGGCAGAGGCTGCAGTGAGCCGACATCTCGCCACTGCACTCCAGACTGGTGACAGAGCAAGACTCCGTCTCAAATAAATAAATAAACAAAATAAAATAAAAGCAGCCATGCAGATGGGGGAATTGGAGGAGAAAGCACACATGGAAGACCAGGGAAAACATTCCCAGAAAAGATTCAGAGCCTTCATGCTGGACTGATTAATGAAGGTCTTCCCCTGCATGGAGCCAACCTGCAAAGACTGGGAGCGGTGCTATTTTCTCAAATCCCCAATTTTCAATAAAAGATTGCAATGCATACAAAGAAACAGGTGAATATGGCCAATTCAAAAGCAAAATAATAAATCTCCAAAACAGTCCCTGAAGAATCACAGGCCTCAGACTTACCTGACAAAAATTTTAAAACAACTTACATGTGGCCAATGAACATGAACAGAACACTAAACAAAATCAAGAAAATGACACATGAACAAAGTAAGAATTTCAACACAAAGATAAAAATTATTTTAAAAGAACAAAACAGAAATCACAATACCTAATAAACACAATACCTGAATTTAAAAATTCACTAAAAGGCTTCAATGAAAGACTAAAACAGGCAGAAGAAAAAAAATCAGTGAACTTGAAGACAAGTCATTTGAAATTATCAAGTCTGAGAAGCAAAAAGCAAAAATAAAATTAAAAAAAAGAGACAGAAAGCTTATTTGAAGAAATAATGGCCAAAAGTTCCCCACATTTGAAGAAATATATAGATACACAAATACAAGAAGCTGAACAAACTCCAAGTAGTGTAAGCTCACCAAGACACATTATAATCAAGCTGTCAAAAGACAAAGAGAGAGATTCTTGAAAGCATCAAGAAAAACGCAACTTGTCACATACAAGGTATCCTCAATAAGATTATCAGTAGATTTCTTGGCAGAAACCATGAAACCCAAAGAGAAACAGGATGATGTATTAAAAGTACTGAGAGAAAAAAACTGTCAACCAATAATTTTACATCTTACAAAACTATTCTTCAAAAATGTGGGAGAAATTGAGACATTTCCAGATAAACAAATGAAGAAGCTCATTTCCACCAGAACTGCCCTATAAGAAATACTAAAGTGATTCCTTCAAGTTGAAATAAAAGCATGTTAGACAGTTACGAAAAAACCATATAAAAATATACAGTTCTTTGGTAAAGGTAAATACATCAAAAAATACAAAACCAGTATTATCACAATGTGGTTCATAACTCCATTTTTGTTCTTCTACAAGATTTAAAAGCATAAAAAATAATGATAAATCTATACTAATGGTATACAATATATAAAGTAGTAGCCACAAAAATGAGAACAGGGAACCTGAAGCCCAAAGATGTACACACAACTAAGAATCACTAAACATTTAAGAAAAGCAACACCTTGAAAGAGGCACATCAAATAAACTCAAAAGTCAACACTTATACAAATAGAGTTAATAGGGCACAAAGAGTCTTTTAAAATGTCATATTAATATCTTCTGAGGGACAAGATAAGACATAATATTCACAAAATGAGAAGACCTTGATATAAAAAAGAACCACTTGGGCATCTTATAAATATAAACATAAATATAAAAATTAAACCATCAAGGTAAATAGATAAATAATATCTAAATTGTCAGTAGAAAAATGAGATAACTAAAGACCCAATTAAAAAGTGGGAATATTGAAAATTATTAAGTAATTTTTCAGCTTATAAAGCAAAAGGAAGACAGTAAAGAGATGTGGCAAATAACTCCAGAAACCCCAATATAAGTATGGTAGACACTGCAGAAGAGCAGGAGTGGAAAAATAGGAGAACGAAAAGAATCAAGAAGAGGAAATAATCGAAAGAATAATAGAAGAAAATTCCCCCCAAATCATATAGTTTCAGATTGATAGTGTCTACCAGAGCCTGGGATAATGAAAAAAGACCCAAACTAGATAGATACATCATAGTAAAAATTTGTGTATCAAAGATAAGGAGAAAAATCCTAAAAGTTTTCAGTGAACAGTACAACAAAACAATATTAAACAAACAAAATAACTGATGCCACCTACAAGGGAATGAGTAACAAGGATTTCATGCTGAGGAAAAGTGTACCTCTTCCAAATGACTACATTCTTTTCCCCTTTTAGTAAGATGGTTATGAAACCTATCATATTTCCTTTTTTGCCCTGGATGACAGGAAGCTATGATGTTTAAGCACTGGAGCCATGTTAACTAATATGCTAAAATATATGAATTTTATTTCCCATTCCTAGTTGTCAATTATTTTGTGTATTTAACTAGCATATAAGTATTTCTTTAAAATTTTTAAATTGTGGCAAAATACATACAGCATAACATTTACCGTCTTAATCATTTTTAAACGTACCTTTCAAAATAGTGTTAAAATACATTCACATGTTTGTGCAACCAATCCCCAGAACTCTTTTCTTGTAAAATTGGAACTCTATACCCATAAAAAAAGATCCCATTTTCCCTCCTCCCAACCCCTGCAACAAATATGATACTTTCCGTCTCTCTGATTTTGACTACTCTAGGTACTTTACATAAGACAAATCATATAGTATTTATACTTTTGTAAATGGCTTATTTCATTTAGCACAGTGTCCAGTAACACACCTACTGACCTTCATAGCTTAGCCTAGCCTACCTGAAATGTGCTCAGAATACTTACATTCGCCTACAGTTGGGCAAAATCATTTAACACAAAGCCTATTTTATAAGTAAACTCATGTTATGGGGGTTTGTTGTACAGATTATTTTATCACCCAGGTACTAAGTACACAATTGTTATTTTTTCTGACCCTCTCCTTCCTCCCACCCTCCACCCTCAAGTGGGCCCCAGTGTCTGTTGCTCCCCTCTTTGTGTCCATGAGTTCTCATCATTTAGCTTATAATTGAGAACATGCTGTATTTGGTTTTGTTTCTGCCTTAGTTTGCTAAGGATAATGGCCTCCACAAAGCCTATTTTATAATAAAGTGTGACACTTTACATATCTCATGTAACTTATTGAATACTATACTGAAAATGAAAACAGAATTATTATAAGGATACTCACCATTAATGTGTACAGATGAAAGCACACTGAGCCTGAAGAATGTTCAAAGCATTAAGCTAAAATTAAGTGCTGATAATGGGGATGCTACAGCTACAGAGTCATCAATTTCACTCTCTTCTGATGAGTCTTGAGAATAGCTGGCAGAAGGCACTGGGACACTGACACTTGTTTATGGTTTAGAAGGCAAAGTGTTCTTCAGGTAGATACCAAGTTTTGACAATATGTTTTTTCTTTTCATTACATATTTCTTCATTGCAAGGAAGAGCATCCTTTTTACTCCCATAGAGCTCTTGGATTAATAGGGAAAAAAGAAAAGGTAATAAGGCTGGCAAAGAACAGGAGAGACTATGGAACAATATGTGTGTGATAGCAATTGTAATTGTCACCCATTTGTCCTAACATTCACACACCACTGCTGATAGTAGAAAACACCGCTGCCAGTTTATTTGCTATGAACTTTCTTGGTGCCTCAGGAACAATTTCTTCTATCTTTGCCCCAACTTCTTTACTTCTTTCTTTTTCCAGCTTCTCATTGGAAAGCTCTTCAGCCTCGATGCCAACAAGCTTATGAATACGGCAGAATCTCTGTTAACATTTTGAATGTGTTCACATATGTCTTCAAAACTTTCTTCCAAATGCTGTTCATGCATGGCTGTGTGACTTCTTCCCATGCTGCATCGATGTTCCAGATAGCATTTAGAATGTTAAAAATCCCTCCGAAACGCTCAGAATATTTGGCCAGATTCAGTCACTTCAACAGCCTGTGCAAACATTTGATATAAATAGTATGCATTGAATACACAGTCCATAGAAACCATATTGCTTTTGCACCACCATAAGTTAAAAAAATCATTAAATTGAACAGTTACAGGCCAGGAGTGGTGGCTCACACCTGTAATGTCGGCAATTTGGGAGGCTGAGGTGGGAGGATCCCTTGAGCCCAGGAGTTCAAGACCAGCCTAGGCAACATAGTGAGACCCTGTTCTAAAAAAAAGTTAAATAAATAATTTTTTTAAAAAGCTGAACCATTGCAAGCTGGGGACTATCTGTGTGTGTGTGAGTGTGTGTGTGTGTGTCTGTATATATATGTAAAACTCAAAAGTCAATAGAGATATATATATATATATATATATATATATATATATATATATATATATATATATATATAAACACGTATATAGCAAATAAACTCAAAAGTCAACACCTATACAAATATAGCTAATAGGGCATAAAGAGCTTTTGAAAATTTCATATTAATATCTTCAGAGGGACAAGAGAACATATATTTATGCTGCTTATATAGCCTTCAGAACCACAATCTAAATAAGCCTTTTTTTCTTTATAAATTCAGGCCCGAGTATTCCATTATAGCAACACAAATGGACTAAGATAGGACTTGAATTGGCATTTCTCCAAAGAAGTTAACAAATGGCTGACAAGCATAGGAAAAGGTGGTCAACATCACTAATCCTTAAGGAAATGCAAATCCAAACCACAATGAGGTACCACCTCACACCCATTAAGATGGCTACTATCCCATACACACACACATATATATATATATTTATATATCTGAACCCCTGTTCAGATATATGATTTTATTTATATATAATATATATATTTATGCATCTGAACCTCTTTTCAGATGTTTTATTTGTATATAAATAGACATTATATATCTTATATATAAAAATATTTATGTTTATATTTATGTATCTGAACTCTGTTCAGATATATGATTTTATATATATATATTTATATGGGATAGTAGCCATCTTAATGGCTACTATAAATATATAAATAAATATATAATGTAAATTATATATACAATTATATAAATTATATTTTAAAATATACATTTTTAAAAATATATAATCCCATAAATATATATTGGACTTATATATATAAAGCCATATAAATAAACATGTATTTTTATATATAAATAAATTATATATATATCTATATATAGGATAGTAGCCATTTTAATGGGTGTGAGGTGGTACCTCATTGTGGTTTGGATTTGCATTTCCCTAATGATTAGTGATGTTGACCATCTTTTCCTATGCTTCTGAACAGCCATTTGTTTATCGTCTTTGGAGAAACGTCAATTCAAGTCCTATCTTAGCCCATTTGTGTTGCTATAAAGAAATACTCAAGGCTGGATTTACTTCAAAAAGAGATTTATTTGTCTTATGGTTTTGAAGGCTATATAAGAAGCATGGTGCCAGCATCTGCTCAGCTTCTGGTGAGGGTCTCATGCTGCTTTCACTCATGGTGGAAGGTGAAGGGGAGCCAGCATGCAGAGATCACATGGAGAAAGTAGAAGCAAGAGAGAGAGAAGGAGGTGCCAGGCTCTTTTTAACAAGCAGTGCTTGTGGAAAATAAGAATGAGAACTCACTCACTCCTGTGAGAATGGCACCAAGCCACTCATGAGGAATCCTCTCCCATGATCCAAACACCTCCCACTAGGCCCACCTCCAGTACTGGGGATCAAATTTCAACAAGAGACTTGGCAGGACCAAACGAACCATATCCAAATCACAGCAAGTCCTTTGCCTATTTTTTAAAAAGTTGTTTGGGTATTTTTGTTGTTGAGTTGTAGGAATTCTTTATATATTTTAGATGTTAACCCCTGTTCGGATATATGATTTGCAAATATTTTCTCCCATTCCATGGATTATCTTTTCACTCTGTCGATCATGTCTTTGATGCATGGAGGTTTTTAATTTTCCTGTAGTCCAGTTTATCTTTTTAAAATTTCATGAGCTGTGCAGTTGGTGTCATATACATGAAATCTTTATCAAATAAATGCCATATCATGAAGACTTTCTTCTATTTTTTCTAAGAGTTTTCTAAGGGTTTTATAGTTTTATCTCTTATATTTAGGTCTTTGATTCATTTTTAGTTAATTTTTGAAATGGTGCAAGGTAAAGTCCAATTTCTTTTTTTGCATGTAGATAACCTGTAAAACAATATAATACAGTTGTATTTTGCATGTTGATCTTGTATCCTGAAACCTTGCTGAACTCATTTATTAGTTCTAAGATGTTGTATGGAGATTTCTTGAGAGTATACAGGTTGAGGATTCCTAATCTGAAAATCTGAAATCAGAAATGTTCCAAATTCAAAACTTTTTGAGCACCGATATGATGCCACTTATATTTGGAAAATTCCATATATAAGTATCTAACATATAAGTACCTAACACAAACTTTGTTTCATGCACAAAATTATTAAAAATAATGTATAAAATTATCTTCAGGCTGCATGTATAAGAGACATAAATAAATTTTATTTTTAGACTTGGGTCCCACCCCTAAGATATCTCATTATGTAAATGTAATATTAAAAAAATCCAAAAAAATCAAAATCCGAAACATTTCTGGTCTCAAGCATTTCCGATAAGCAATACGCAACCTGTATTTCCACAAACTGGCAATGAACACACAAAAACCAAAATTTAAAATATAATATCACTTACAAATGCTCAAGAAATGACACTTCGGTGTTATGGCAAGCAGGTAGCATGTGAAAAAGAAAAACAGCATTCAAAAAAAATGACACTTAGGTGTAAATCTAGCCACACATGCACAGTACTTGTATTATGAAAATTTTAAAATGCTCATGAAAGAAATCAAAGAAGATCAAAATAAATGGAGAGACATATCATGATTATACATTGAAATACTCCACATCGTAAAAATTTCAATTCTTCCAAACTATTATGTAGGTTGTGTAACATATAGAAGTTGCATACATATAACATGCATATTACATATAAGTATATATTTGTGTTTATAATATATTACAGATGTTTATATGAGCCTATTTCCCATAAGTCCCTTTATAGATAATAAAATATATTACATACATATATATATATTATATACAGGCATCCATCATTTTATTGCACTTCACTTTATTGTGCTTAGCAGATATTGTGTTTTTTTACAAATTGAAGGTTTGTGGCAATCCTGCATTGAGCAAGTCTATCAGCATAATTTTTTCAACAGCATATACTCACATCATGTCTCTGTGTTACTTTTGGTAATTCTCACAATATTTTAAACTTTTTCATTATTATTATATCTGTTAGGATAATCTGTGATCAGCAATCTTTGATGTTACTATTGTAATTGTTTTGGGGTGCCACAAGGCACACCCATATAAGACAGGGAACTTAATTGATACATGTTTTGTGTGTCCTGACTGCTCCACCAACCAGCTGTTCCCTTATCCCTCTCCCTCTCCTCAGGCCTCCCTATTTCCTGATACACAACAATATTGACATTAGGCCAATTAATAACCCTACAATGGCCTCTAAGTATTCAAGTGAAAGGAAGTGTTGCATGTCTCTTACTTTAAATCAAAAGCTAGAAATCACTAAGCTTAGTGAGGAAGGCATGTAGAAAGCTGAGACTGGCCAAAAGCTCAGCCTCTTGTGCCAAACAGCCAAATTGTGAGTGCAAAGGAAAAGTTATAAAAGGAAATTAAAAACGCTACTCCAGGGAACTCACAAATGAGAGGAAAGTCAAACAGTCTCATTGCTGATACGGAGAAAGCTTCAGTGGTCTGGACAGAAGATCACACCAGCCACAGCATTTCCTTAAGCCAAACTCTAGTCCAGAGCAAGGACTAACTCTCCTCAGTTCTGTGAAGGGTGAGGGAGGTGAGGGAGTGGCAGAAGAAAAGTTGGAAGCTAGCAGAAGTTGGCTCATGAGGTTTAAGGAAAGAAGCCATCTTCTTAACGTAAAAGTACAAGGTGAGGCAGCAAGTGCTAATGGAAAAACTGCATCAAGTTATCCAGAGAATCTAGCTATGATCATTGATGAAGGTGGCTATACTGAACAATGGATTTTCAATTATGTACATACAATATTCAAAAAATCCAAAAAAAATCAAAACCAAAACACTTCTGATCTCAAGCATTTCAGATAAGCAATGAATTTTCAAGGAAGCTGCACCAGCCCTGTATTAGAAGATTTCATCTAGGACTTTCATAGCTGGAGAAGAGAAATCAATGCCTGGCTTCAAAGTTTCCAAGGACAGGCTGACTCTCTTGTTAGGGCCTAATGCAGCTGGTGACTTTAAGCTGAAATCAGTATTCATTGGCCATTTTGAAAATCCAAGAGCCCTTAAGGATTATGCTAAATCTACTCTGCCTATGCTCTATAAATGGAAGAACAAAGCCTGGATGACAGCAATTCTGTTTATAGCATAGTTTACTGAATGTTTTAAGCTTACTGTTGAAACCTACTGCTCAGAAAAAGATTCTTTTCAGTATATTATTGCTCACTGTCAATACACTTGGTCACTCAAGACCTCTGATGGAGATGTAACACAGGATGAGTATTGTTTTTATGCCTGTGAACGCAACATCCTTTCTGCAGCCTATGGATCAAGGAGTCATTTCAACTTTTAAGTCTTATTATTTAAGAAATACATTCTCTAATGCTATAGCTGCCATAGCTAGTGATTCCTTGGATGAATCTGGGCAAAGTAAATTGAAAACCTTCTGCAAAGGATTCACTATTCTAGATACCACTAAGAACATTCATGATTTATGAGAGGAGGTCAAAATACCAACATGAAAAGGAGTTTATAAGAAGTTGACTCCAACCTCATCGATGACTTTGAGAGGTTCAAGACATCAACGGAGGAAGTAACTGCAGACGTGGTAGAAAGAACAAGAGAAATGGAATTAAAAGTGAAGCCCAAAGATGTGACTGAATTGCTACAATTTCATGATCCAATTGGAATGAATGAGAAGTTGTTTCTTATGGATGAGAGAAGAAAGTGATTTCTTGAGATGGAATCTATTCCTGGTGAAGATGCTGTGAACATTGTTCAAATGGCAACAAAGGGCTCACTGAAGTCTCAGACAATTGTTAGCAATTTTTAGCAATGAAGTATTTTTAAGTTAAGGTATGTACATGATTTTGATGTAATGCTATCACACACTTAACAGATTACAATATAGTATAAACATAATTTTATATGCACTGGGAAACCAAAACATTTGTGTGACTTGCTTCGTTGCAATTTTTGCTCTATTATGGTAGTCTGGAACTAAATCTGCAATTTCTTGGATATATATACATACATATATATATATATATGGATTTATTATGAGTAATTGGCTCATGTGATTATGGAGGATGGCAAGCTATGATCTGTCATCAGCAAGCTGCAGACTCAGGGAAGCCAATGCTATAGTTTAGTTCAGGTAGAGTCCAAAAGCCTGAGAACTTGGAGGGTTGATGGTGGAAGTTTTAAACCAAGTTTGAAGGCCTGAGAACTGGAAGGCCAATGGTATAATTTCCAGACCCAGAAAAGACTGATGTCCCAGCTTAAGCAGTCAAGCAGAGGGAATTCTCCCCTCCTCCACCTTTTTGTTCTATTCAGCCCCTCAATTGATTGGATGACGCCCACAAACATTAGGGAGGTCTATATGCTTTACTCTCTCTACTGATTCAAATGCTAATCTCTCATGGAAACATCCTCACAGAGACACCAAGAAATAATGTTTAACCAGATTTCTGGTTATCCTATGACCTAGTCAAGTGGCACAAAAAATTATCTATCACACAGGTTTAACACAATTCCTATCAAAATTCCTACAGGATTTTTTATAGCTATAAACCAGATTATTTAAAAATGTATACAGAGAGGCAAAAGAAATAGAATAGTTACAACAATTTCAAAATAAGATGAAACTAGAAGAATAAATCTACCCAATTTCAAGATATACTATATAGCTACGGTAACCAAGGCTATGTGATATCAGTGGAGGGATAGAAGCATAAACAAGTGGAATCAAATAGAGAACCAGGAAATAACTGCATACTGAAACAGCCAACTGATTTTAGACAAAGGTTCAAAAACAATTCAGTGAAGAATAGGTAGTCTCGGCCGGGCATGGTGGCTCACGCCTGTAATCCCGGCCCTTTGGGAGGCTGAGGTGGGCGGATTACCTGAGGTCAGGAGTTCAAGACCAGCCTGGCCAACATGGTGAAACCCCCATCTCTACTAAAAATACAAAAATTAGTCGGGCGTGGTGGCACACATCTGTAATCCCAGCTACTCAGGAGGCTGGGGTGGGAGAATTGTTTGAGCCCAGGAGACGGAGGTTGCAGTGAACCGAGATCATGCCACTGCACTCCAGCCTGGCTGACAGAACAAGACTGTCTCAAAAAGAAAAAAAATAGGTAGTCTCTTCAACCAATGCTATTGAGGCAATTGGATATGCACAGCAAAAATGAACTTCGACCTAAGTCTCATACTTTATGCAAAACTTAAAATGAATCATAAACTTAAATGAAAACATAAAACTGTGAAACTTTTAGAAGACAAAATAGGAGAAATCTTTGGGATCGAATACATCATGATGACTTTTTAGACATGACGTCAAACGCATGATCTATAAAGGGAAAAAATTAATAAATTAGAGTTCATCAAAGTTAAAACCATTTGCTATGTTTTTAGGCAACGAGCCTGTTAAAAGAGAGAAAAGGCAAGCTTTAGCCTGGGAGAAAATATTTGGAAACCACATATCTGACAAAGGACTCATATCTAGAATATATAAAGAACTCTCAAAATTCCACAGTAAAAAGAAAAAACCCCAAAATAAACCCAAACAATCTAATTAGAAAACAGGCAAAGACATAAACAGACGTTTCATTTATAAGATACAGATGGTAAATAAGCACATGAAAAGATGTTCAATATTACTAGCTGTTTACAAAGGAAGTCTTAAGCCAGGCCTCAGATAAGTAAGATTTTATGAATTAATAAGAGGGATATAAAAGCATAAGCTCAAGAGTCTCATTGGATCCCAACAATTTCTTTGGCCTAATATTTTTTAAAGTTTAAATTTTTCTGCAAGTTATATAGCACTATGTCTAGTATAGTTCCATTTTTTGTAAAAGATATATCTATATATAGGAAAAATTTGAACACTGAGTATTTGATGTAATTTAAGAGTAATTTTTAAAAATTTAAGTGTGATAATGATTTTTAAACGTTTTTATCTTTTAAAGATAAATACTAAAGTATTTACTAATGAAATGTTATTATGTGTTAGATTTCCTTACAAATAATCCAGTGAGGGATGGAAGAAAATAGGTGGGAACATGGATGACACATGATTGACCATGAATTGATTACAGTGGAGGTTGGGTGATATATGTATACTGGCTAATTATATTATTCTATTTTTTAAAGTTTGAAATGTTTCATAATAAAGATTAAAGTAAATTAAAATATAGTTGCATATGTGTTTCTATGTGCATAGCAAAACAAAATCTGAAAGGATACTTCTCAAATTGTTAATCATGGGTATCTTTGGAGTATAGAATTTGAATGAAAGAAAAGAAAATTTCTATATTTTACTTGATATACTTCAAAATTTTTACAATGAACATATGTATTTTTAATAATAAAAATCTTAAATGTATGAGATTACTTTTTTACAATTAATTTTTTTTTTTTTTTTTTTTTTTTAGAGATAGGGTGTTGCTCTGCCATCCAGGATGGAGTGCAGTGGGGTGATCATAGCTCACCATAACCTCCAACTCCTGGCCTCAAGCCATCCTCCCACTTCAGCCTCTCAAAGTGCTGGGATTAAGGTGTCAGCCACCATGCCTAGCCTCATCCATCTTTTAATTTATTGAATAGACATCAAAGAGAGTTTTCAAATGTATGCAACTCTAAAGGGTCTCAAATATTGCTAGAAATTTACAAAAGGGGAAGCACATGATAGGCATTGTGAAGCTAAACTTGAGAATCTTCTTGCACACAAGTTGATCCAGATCTCATGGCTTTTAAAAGCAAATGAAATAACCCAATTGCACAGATTTATCCACTATATTTGCATTTATTTCTGTAAGACATCAGATAGATTTGGGCAAATTACCTATTGGAAATACAGTCATGTACCACATAACATTGTTCCCGTCAATAACGGACTGCATATACGATGGCGACCCCATAAGATTGTAATACTGCATTTTCACTGTACCTTTTCAATGTTCAGATATGTTTAGATACACAAATACTTCCCATGGTGTTAGGATTGCCTACAGCATTGAGTAGAGTAACCTGCTATACAGGTTTATAGCC